>NT_187604.1:0-263054 GCF_000001405.40 Homo sapiens
GAATTCCTAATCTCCTATTTATTTATATTTTTGTGAATTGGAATTAACCCTTTATGCTGTATATTCTGTTGATTTCAACAAATTCATATCACATATTTACCATTATAATATTATACATAATACTTTCATCACCCTTTTAAATCTATTTTTTACCCATTTTCATCATCTCCTTAAATTTCTCGCAAATACAGAATCACTTTGTGTGTTTGGACTTCTCCAGAATATCAAATAAATAACATATTATGTAGCTTTTTCAGACTTGTTTCTTTCACTTAACAATATGCATTTAAAATTCATTTATGTATTTTTATGGTTTGATAGCTCTTGTTTATAATTGCTGAATATTATTCTATGAATTTACCGCCGACTGTTTATCTACTCACCTACAGAACTTCTTGAGTGTTCCTAGTTTTGACAAATATGAATGAACTTACTGTGATTATTCATGTGTAGTTTTCTTTGTGGTCATACATTGAAAGTCAGATAGATAAATACCTAGGAGCATGGGTGCTGGATTGCATGCCAAAACTATGTTGAGATTTGACTGAATTTGCCTCCTAGAATTTCTGTGAAGTGGAGGCGCTCAGCTGACCCTGTCTCCTTGCTGGGAGGAAGCTCAGTGCTCAGGGTGGGGCCACCTGGGTGGATCCAGGCCAAGCTCCCTCTCAACAATTAGGGACAGCAGCCTGCCCTGTGGATGCACATCTAGGAAACAGATGCCCCAGACATGCATTGTCCAGGACCACAGAGATGCTTAGGAGTCAGACAGGAAGGGGCACACTGAGGAGCAGGTGCTGGGATAGACCAGGAGGGGAGCTTCTAGCAAAATCCTTGGTTCTCCTTTAGCGAAACTATATCTAACTCCCAGGAAAACTTCCACTCCATCATTTGTAACCCATGCCCTGAAATTTCCATGCTCAAACTCAGTAAACTCAGTGGATTTAGCTGGAAGTGTGAAAAAAAACTAAAATGAAAATGACTCGTTAATTCTGTGATAATTGGTCATTTTCTAGGGAACACCCCAATAATATTGATGATCATAATGTTAATGTCAAAAGCAACATACACCGTCAGCATGATGGCAGTGTGTCTCCTGGTAGAATATATTTATTACTTGAAAATTATGCTCAAAGCAGTCTTTTCCCACAGAAAATCCCACTTTCTCTTCTCACACAGTCAATTTCAGTATCCTGATCCTCAGAGTTGGAAGCACGGTGTCCTCAGGAGATAGGAGGGAAAGTCACTAGCATGGCCCTGGAGTCTTGGTGCCAGATTCTTCATCTTTGTGGCAATCAAAAGGCAAATATTCTGTACCTACTTGAAGGACTTCATAAGCAAATTACGATTTAATTTACAAGAACACTATGTCACACGTATACACACAGGTTTTTTATATTTGTTGTCTTTTCCGTGATTATCTCTTACAGTGTTGTATATTTAATATATTCATTTTATTTTAATTTTATGTAGGTTCCTCATTCCTTCATATGTGTATTACATTTCCCTGGAACTATCACGTATTTTATATACTTAGCAATGGAAAGCTCCTGGTTTTAGTTGTCTGTGCAGCAGGCAGGGGGAGGAGAAGAAAATGGGTCACACTCCTGACCCTGCCTGCATAGCCACAGGTTCCCAAAAGCAGAGGTCCCTGCTGTGCACCTTCCCTGGGACAACTTTCTTATTGATGGGTCTTGTGTTTAATTAATGAGAGTTTGTTTTAGGGGTATGGGCCCAGGTGCAGCTACTGAATCCAGTGCAAGAGTGGAAATAAGCTTCCAAAACAGTATCACCTGAGAGAGAACTGAGTCCATCCCTGTAGTACCATCTGAGTTACAGCTTCCTGGGCAAAGGCTCAGAATCATAAAAACTTTACATATGTGTCATGTGCTGTGATTCTTCTGTGTCACTGTATGTTGAGCTATATCTGTGTGGTGCCACTTACACTTAATGAGATGAGATTCCTTCTACTTGTTTCACGTCACTCGTGATCTCTGAAGCTACTTCAGATTTCTGCTTTAATATGTAAAGAGCATGTCAATCATCACCCACATTCTTACCATAATAAAAGTCTGGAAAATTGATTATCAATGATTTCTTGGATCTATTGAAGAAATGAAATTGCAGGGAAAACCAGGACCCAAAAACTAGAAAGACATTAAAATAGAGATCATAACACTGACGGGACAAACTTTCTGTGGCAATAAGATACCCAATTATAAACAAGACCTAAGGCCATGCCAGGCAGGGATTAAGTCACTCACCCCTACACTTAAAAAATAGACTATGTTGTAACTGCCACAGGGCTTTTTGTTTTTCTCTAACAGCTAAACAAACACTGGTTCTGAGATAAGCAATATTAAAACATTTGCAGTTCATGGAACTTCAGACATGGAGTAATTGTGACCTTGTTTCACAAGCCATAAATAGAGCTTTGATTGGACAAGAGATGGATTTCAGTAACTTTCTCCTGAAAAGAGACCACTGACCATAGACTTGGCCTCACCAATTTCCAGAGGCTGTGCACTGTGTTTTTTTCCGCCCCTGCACAAAGCCCTTTTGATGTGCAGGGCCCAACTGTAATTCAGTTAGTTCTTAAGTCCTCACCCCAAAGCAAACATGAAGTGCATGTAGCGTGTCTGTCTGATTATTAGACCTGAGAGCATGCCTGCCATGTGAATATCCACAGCTCCTATAGCCTGCTGAGTGTGTATACTTGGCCAACCCATTCACATGAATTCATTTCTCGTCTTTCCCTGTCTTGAAGTACCTGCTCAATGTCTCTGTGGGAGGCTTTGCTTCCCAGCCTGTTAAGATGGCCGTCCTGCAGCTTCAATCCTTTCTCAGAAATAAAGTCCCCTTTCTAAATCAATAAATTGGGTGATTCTTCAGTTGACAGCACAAGCTGGCGGAAACATGGTAATTCCATAAATGTCTGGAGGACAGGTGTAGACAGGGATGGGGTAAGAACTCCTGGGGGGCCACACACCCCACACTATCATGGAATTTCCCTCCAGAAAATTCTGGGTTCTCAAGATGAGAGTCCAAACAGAATCACTCGTAGCTCTGTCGTCAGGAGAACTATTCTGTGATAAATATGCCCAGAACTTTCTCCTAACAGATGCTACAGAGACAAAATACTTTTCAAGATCTTTATTCTATGTGAGAGGAAGGGATTCTTTTCCATCCCAGACAGCTTCATCTTAGCCTTCCCGTGTCATGAAAAGGGGTATAATTAATAAACAACTGGGGTCAGATTCAAGAAAATAATCTGTGGATGCTGCAGCCAGGAAGGGGAGTGGAGGATGGAGGAAAATCCGCTGTACCACTGGAGACTCCTTGTAAAGGGTGCAGCCTAGAGAAAACACAGCAAGAAAACATTGGAAGTCAATTTCCAGAACATATACTGCTCCCCTGTCCACTGCATTACCTCCCCTCCTCACCAATAGGATTAATCTGGATTAAAGAGAAAAGTGTGATAATGCACAGACTCTGTCCAAACACTACAACTTAGGGAAACCAAAGGCAGTGGGAGAGAACAAGTCAAGGACAGTGAAGTGATTCAAAGCCTCTGAGAACAACAGCTTCAGGACCAAGGTCACAGCCTCTCCCTCAATGGCCTTAGATTTACTTCTCATGGGGCATCTGCAGGGTTCCCAGGTGAGAACTGGCAAAGAGAACATGAAGGCACTTCCCAAATCTCCAGTAATACTGAGCTTGCTTTAGCTCTGTCTGGAAAAAATAACAACAACAAACACAAGCAGGACTATGGCCAGTGTTGGAAGCACTTTTCATTGAGACACTTGGAAGGAGGGCAAATCTGAGTCTCGTTACTGTGCAAATGTGCCACTGTGAGTGTATGTGTGTGTGTGTGTGGGGGGGTGCTTTGAGACATAGGGTCTTTGTGTAAAGTTACAATCTGATGTGATCGTCAACCACAGAATCCTAAAAAAAAATAGAGGCTGCCCCAAAGTTCCCATCGGTTCCTAGACTTGCCATGTGTCCGGACCCTATCAGTGCACCTAGAACTCCAGGGAAGGGGCTCCCTGGTGGCTTTAGTGATTCCTTGTTGCTGTGCTGAGGTCTCCCGGTAGATTATGTCGGGTGTTCTAAGGCCTATTTGCTACTGTAAGAGATGGTGGGAGAAGCAATTGCTGCCATTGAAAGAGCATTCTGAGTCAGGGCAAGGCCACTTCATACTGTGCTTGAGACGCTGGGAGGAGAATTCTCTATGAGCCCAGACAGGAACTTTCCTGCAGGGCAGGAGCTGAGCTGCAGGGGGCGCTCAGGGCGCACCCAGCACAGGATCCAGCCCTGGAGCAGGTGCACAGGAGGCTGGGGAGGGGTTTTCTCTCAGGAATTGAATGTTCTTTATTTCAAAGCAATAATAACCTAAAATCTAAATAAGAATGTAGTAAGTACTGATGTGTCTTTAAGTATTCTATTATATATGTAGCCTATACCTAACCAAATAATTGAATGCAAACAGCATTTAAAAGGAGAAATGTCTGGTCTTTTCAAATGTATTTATAGTTAGGAATTGAAGAGTGGTTTTATTAATTCAATGGGTGTTACTGTCGGAAGATACACTCATCCCAGAATTTAGATGTGCAGAGGTCAAGGCCCAGGAAAAGTTCAGGTTGTCAGGGTGCCATATGAACAAGAAATGACATTGAGGACAATGTCCTGGGAGATTCTGGTTTTCTGTAAAACGAGTTCTGTCTTCATGGACTTCTGAGCATAACAGAGGGCAAATATCATTAAACAAAGTTCAGGGCAGGGAGCTCTGCATCCCACTGTGGCGTGGTCCGTGTGTCACCTATCTTCTTCCTCAGGTTGAGGTGGCTTGAGCTATGAAATACCTGCCTCGTGAATATGCAAATGCACTGCTGTCTACCGAGGTACATACAGATCTGTCCTTGCCCAGAGAGCATCACACAACAACCACATCCCTCCCCTACAGAAGCCCCCAGAGCACAGCACCTCACCATGGACTGGACCGGGAGGATCCTCCTCTTGGTGGCAGCAGCCACAGGGAAGAGAATCCTAAGTTCCAGGGCTGATGAGGGGACTGGGTCCAGTTAAGTGGAGTCTCAACCACTTCTCTGTCCTCTCCACAGGTGCCCATTCCCAGGTCCAATCGGTGCAGTCTGGGGCTGAGGTGAGGAAACCTGGGTCCTCAGTGAAGGTGATCCCAGATACACCTTCACCTTCCACTACATACACTGGGGGCGACAGGCCCCTGGAAAAGGGCTTGAGTGGATGGAACGTGTTGATCCTGAAGATGGTGAAACAATATATGCACAGAATTCCAGGGCAGAGTCACCACGACCTGGGACACGTCTACAGACACAGCCTACATGGAGCTGAGCAGCCTGAGATCTGAGGACACAGCCGTATATTAATGTGCAAGACACGCAGTGTGAAAACCCACATCCTGAGAGTGTCAGAAACCTTGAGGAAGGAGGCAGCTGTGCTGGGGGTGAGAAGATGACAGGATTTATGAGGTTTAAACGTGTTTAGAAAATGGGTTAAGTAATTGAGGAAAAGAAGCAATAGAAAGATGTATACACTCTAATTATATAGGAAATAGTCTTTTCAACTTTCACCCTGTAAGTAAAATTCACAGAGTGGGAAAGGCAGCAATCAATCAGGCTGATGCAAACACTCCCATGGAAGCCTTGTGGGGACATAACATTTTAAAATCGAATGGATAAATCATTTGGAGCAGGATTGCTTTATCACGTGGTAAGACTAAACATAATTTCTAAGAAGTGGCCAACATTTCTTCCAAAATGTCTTTGCCACTTTTTTTACATTACATTTATTTTAAAACACTTTTAGGATCACAGCAAATTTGAGTAGAAGAAACAGAGTTCCCATGTATTCCTGCCCAAGATACGCACAGACTTCTCCGTGATCAATACCCTGCACTGAAGTAATAACTTGCAACTGACAAACCCGCATGGACACATTAATTGTTTCCTTTTCTGGCGTCCCCTAGTATAACAAGCCTAAACTATCTTGAAACACCCCGGGTTCCTCAAGCGGATTACTGGGAATGATGCCAGGTAGAGGGAAAGTGGGTGGGGACGTTCCTCTTTGCACTCTTTCCTCAAGAATCCATAAAATGTACATTGATTTGGAGCTCATCTGACTTGTTTTTCTATGCCCCTTCCCAGAGGGTAAGGTCTCCAAGCATTTACAGCAGAGGTCCCCAACCCCTAGGCAGTGAACCAGAACTGGTCAGCAGCCTGTTAGAAACCAGGCAGCACAGCAGGTGAGCGGCGGGTGAGCATCACTGCCTGAGCTCCGCCTCTTGTCAGATCAGCTGTGCACTAGATTCTCCTAGGATCCAAATTCTATTGTGAACTGGGCATGCAAAGGACCTAGTTTGAGTGCTCCCTATGAGAATCTAATGCTTGATGAATGCAGGTGGAGTAAGTTCATCCCATAATCACTCACCGCCATCATCCATGGAAAAATTGTCTGCCACGAAACCGTTCCCTGGTGCCAAAAATGTTGGGGACCACTGGTGTAGAGGAAGGTCTGTGCCTGTGAAAGGCCAGCAGCTTCTGGTGAATCCCATAATCAATGTCCTTTAATGAGAAGTGAAGACTTTGGCCATGAGGGCTTTCATGAATAATGCCCTTCAGTTGAATTCAAAACACTATAAGCTCTTGGGGGGTGTTTCTGGATAAAGGCCTTTGTGAAGAAAATACAAACACATGCATGGGATCCAGGCAGGAAAAAAGCTTCCCTTAGAAAGTGGTTTGGTACCTGGAAGGAGCTCTCAGGGTTGGG
Organism: Homo sapiens; assembly: GCF_000001405.40. Taxonomy (NCBI): domain Eukaryota; kingdom Metazoa; phylum Chordata; class Mammalia; order Primates; family Hominidae; genus Homo; species Homo sapiens. The sequence goes on from NT_187604.1 coordinate 6,802, forward strand.
CACTGGACCCCTTGCTGGCTGCACTTTAGCCAGAGGCCTGAGCCTGATTGATCTTGCAGCGAGAGAGCCTCACTGGGGTCACAGGTTACCAAAATGCCTGTCATCTTCCAGCTGAGCAAGCCCATCTGCATGCTTGTCACTGTCAACCCCATGAGGGGTGCACTCTGGAAGATGACAAGATGCACACAAACCTCCTCCCCCCACTTATCCACTACCACACAATCGAAACCAATTTATATTCCAGAAAGGGACAGGTGCCTGCAGGGATAAACAGAATGGAAGTATTATCTTACCTGGGAAAGACACTGCCAAATACCACATGTTTCAGGAAGATCAACTCATAAGTGTTCAGGAAGTGACTGAAGGGCAACGGTGGGTGAAGTGACGTGGCAGCCTCAGGGCTGGATGTGAGGAGGGCTCCCTCCCCCATGCAGGCTTTGCCTCCAGGAGCTGCACCAGGAACTCACAGAGGATCAGGAATTATTCTGAGAACATACTTCTGAGTGCTGCCTACAGGGAGAAAATAAATTATAAAAAATAAATCAATTCTAAACAAAATATGACATTTGTTATTAGAAACTATTTCTGGAACCTGTGGGAAACAAACCAACCCTGTGGCTGACAGCAACCACCGGCAGCCACCATCCCCTCCACAGCCCTGTGTTTGGAACATCACCTGAGTGATTGTATAAGGAACTTTCTTTCAGAATCATCTTAAAAACTTATGTGTCCCATTTCACATGGAGAGGTCATCTATCCATTTTGTCTTCATAGAGAAATAGAAGGAGGTGAATACCAAATACACTTCATATCTCCGGATTATTCAAATCTAATTGCCCCTTTATCACCTTCTGATTTCTGGTCTACACAGAACAATCTGCAAATTTTTCTCACTGGTGTTATACTAAAACTTGTGAAGGGCCAGATACTGGAATAATTTCAACTTACATTATTATTCTAATAATTCTAAGAATTTAGAATTAAGATTATCCTCTTTTCATAGATGGACAAACTAACCTAGATATTTGAAAATAAACCCTTAACTGAGACTGAAAAGATCAGCCATAGATTTGGAGAATTTGCTTGCAAATCCAATATTTGGAAAAGGGCTTTTATCACAAATATATAAATTGACTTATAATTGAACAACAACAAAACCACAAAATTTATTTTTAAAATGGGCAAAGACCTGAAGAGAAACCACATCTAAAAGTAAAGATAAAAAGTGATCAGTTTGATTTTTATTAGGTAAATGTACATTTAATATTCAAAAAATACTGCTAACCTGCTAAAACGGGTAAAATAAACAATATAGACAATACCAAATGGTGAAGAGAAAGCTGAAAATCAGGAACTTTCACTTACTGCTGTTGGGAATGCTAAAATGGTACATAGACAACTACAGTTAATAATTTATTGTATATTTGAAAATAGCTAGAAGAGAAAATTTAGAATGTCCTTAACACAAAGAAATAATCAATGATTGAGATGAAGGATATCCCGGTTATCCAGGTTTGATCACTGCACATATTATTTTATCAAAATATCACATGTACCACATAAAGGTTTTGAACTGTTATGTATCTGTATAAATTCAACATTTAAAAATCAAATGCAGGGGAATCCAGCTAATTGCAGATTCCCATTAGATGGGATGCTCTATGTAATCTGTAAACTAATCAGAATCTGTGGGTTTGTAAAAGGACTTTAGAAATCAACTAGATTACTTGTTTCTAAAGATAAGTCTTGCAAGTTTAATTATTTTCCTAATGGGGGGCAATTTTGAACACAGAAGAAATGTTAACATTTGTTTCTTGTAACTTTTCTTCTAGTATCAGGAGAGAAGGTTTGCAGGGAGGAATCTGGGACCATCTTTCATGTCTCAACTTTAAAGTGATTACCTCAATGAATATTTTCTGATACCCCTGATTAGGATAAGTCTCATATATGTCCTATAAACTAAAAACAGAATTCTAAGCAACCCAACTGGCTGAATGGACCCTTCCTCTTCAAAAAGGAGTTCCAGAGATACTTGAAAAGCTAGTTTAGGCCATGTTAGCAAGAAAGGATCAGAAATGCCTCATTATGCACTCCTGCCTTTGGAATTCAAGCACAACTAACCAGCATTTTCATTCAAACAGATCTTAAGGCTCAGAAAATAGATTCTTTGTAGCAGTAAGATACCAAATTCTAACCTGACTCAAGAATAGCATCACATGACAGCAGGCCTTGAGAGGAATCAAAGTCTTTTGCCCTAAAGTATATTTTTGACATATTTTAAATTGCCCTGCACAGTTATATTTTGTGAGAGAAATTTACATTCTGTAGAGAATCGCTTTACCTTTCCAGGTGTTTTTGTTATATGGAGGAGATTAACTGAGAGTCTAGCATCTTTTAAAGGTCTTAATAGAAAACACTTGCCATCTATTGCCTCTAAGGGTGGCCACATAAGAGACTTCATCTGCATAATAAGAATATTGTTCTCCAAAGCCCGCTCTCTAAATCTAGAAACTTTTTCAACTGATTTCAGGTCTTTAGATAAAACCTTAAGTCTTTTAATCAATTGCCAATAAGAAAAACTTTGAATCCACCTGTAAGCTGTAATCCCCTCCCCACACTGCCTCACTTCTTGCTGTTTTGTCTTTATAGACCAAATCAACACATATCTCACATGTATTGATTGATGTCAAATGTCTCTCTAAGACATTAGATATAAGAGCAATCAAACCACTTTGGGCACATGTTCTCAAGGTCTTCTAAGGTGTGTCACAGGGCATGGTCCTCACATTTGGCTCAGAATAAATCTCTCTAAATATTTTGCAAAGTTACCTTTTTTTAATTATACTTTAAGTGATGGGATACATGTGCAGAACGTGCAGGTTTGTTACATAGCTATACATATGCCATGGTGGTTTGCTGCACCCATCAACCCGTCATCTATATTAGGTGTTTCTCCTAATGTTATTCCTCCCCTAGCCCCTCACCCCCCAACAGGCCCTGTTGTGTGATGTTCCCCTCCCTGTGTCCATGTGTTCTCATTGTTCAACTCTCCCTCATGAGGGAGAACATGCAGTGTTTGGTTTTCTGTTCCTGTGTTAGTTTGCTGAGGATGATGGTTTCCAGATTCATCCATGTCCTTGCAAAGAACATGAACTCATTCTTTTTTATAGCTGCATAGTATTCCGTAATGTATATGTGACATATTTTCTTTATCCGGTCTATCACTGATGGGCATTCGGGTTGGTTCCAAGTCTTTGCTATTGTCAGCGGTGCTGCAATAAACATACACGTGCATGTGTCTTTATAGTGGATTAATTGTTCATCCTTTGGGTATATACCCAGTAATGGGATTGCTGGGACAAATGGTATCTCTAGGCCTAGATCCTTGAGGAATTGCCACAGTGTCTTCCACAATGGTTGAACTAATTTACCCTCCCACCAATAGTGTAAAAGCATTCCTATTTCTCTACATCCTCTCCAGCATCTGTTGTTTCCTGACTTTTTAATGATTGCCATTCTAACTGGCATGAGATGCTATCTCACTGTGGTTTTGATTTGCATTTCTCTAATGACCAGCGATGATGACCTTTTTTTCATATGTTTGTTGGTCTCATAAATGTTTTCTTTTGAGAAGTGTCTGCTCATATCCTTCACCCACTTTTTGATGGCGTTGTTTGTTTTTTTTCTTTTAAATTTGTCTAAGTTCCTTAGAGATTCTGGATATTAGCTCTTTGTCAGATGGATAGATTGCAAAAATTTTCTCCCATTCTGTAGGTTGCCTGTTCACTCCAATGACAGTTTCTTTTGCTGTGCAGAAGCTCTTTAGTTTAATTAGATCCCATTTGTCAATTTTGGCTTTTGTTGCCATTGCTTTTGGTGTTTTAGTCATGAAGTCCTTGCCCATGCCTATGTCCTGAATGGTATTGCCTAGGTTTTCTTCTAGGGTTTTTATGGTTTTAGGTCTTACATTTAAGTCTTTAATCCATCTTGAGTTAATTTTTGTGTAAAGTGTAAGGAAGGGGTCCAGTTTTAGTTTTCTGCATATGTCTAGCCAGTTTTCCATACACCATTTATTAAATAGGAAATCCTTTCCCCATTGCTTGTTTTTGTCAGGTTTGTCAGAGATCAGATGTTCTAGATGTGTGGGATTATTTCTGAGGCCCCTGTTCTGTTCCATTAGTCTATATATCTGTTTTGGTGTCAGCATCATGCTGTTTTGGTTACTGTAGCCTTATAGTATAGTTTGAAATCAGGTAGCATGATGCCTCCAGCTTTGTTTGTTTGTTTGTTTTTGCTTAGGATTGTCTTCACTTTACAGTCTCTTTTTTGGTTCCATATGAAATGTAAAGTAGTTTTTTTTCTAATTCTGAGAAGAAAGTCAATGGTAGCTTGATGGGGATAGCATTAAATCCATAAATTACTTTGGGCAGTATGGCCGTTTTTACAATATTGATTCTTCCTTTCCATGTCCATGAAATATTTTTCCATTTGTTTGTGTCCTCTCTTATTTCCTTGGGCAGTGGTTTGTAGTTCTCCTTGAAGAGATCCTTCACATCCCTTGTAAGTTGTATTCCTAGGTATTTTATTCTCTTTGTAGCAATTGTGAATGGGAGTTCACTCATTATTTGGTTCTCTGGTTGTCTATTATTGGTGTATAGGAATTGTTGTGATTTTTGCACATTGATTTTGTATCCTGAGACTTTGCTGAAGTCGCTTATCAGCTTAAGGAGATTTTGGGCTGAGAGGAGGAGGTTTTCTAAATATACAATCATGTCATCTGCAAACAGAGATAATTTGACTTCCTCTCTTTCTATTTGAATACCTTTATTTCTTTCTCTGGCCTGATTGCTCTGGCCAGAGCTTCCAATACTATGTTGAATAGGAGGAGTGGTGAGGGAGGGCATCTTTGTCTTTTGCTGGTTTTCAAAGAGAATGCTTCCAGTTTATGCCCATTCAGTATGATATTGGCCGTGGATTTGTCATGAATAGCTCTTATTATTTTGAAATATGTTCCATCAATACCTAGTTTATTGAAAGTTTTTAGCATGAAGTGGTGTTGAATTTTATTGACGGCCTTTTCTGCTTCTATTGAGATAATTGTGTGTTTTTTTCCATTGGTTCTGTTTATGTGATGGATTATGTTTATTGATTTGTGTATGTTGAACCAGCCTTGCATCCCAGGGATGAAGCCGACTTGATCATGGTGGATCAGCTTCTTTATGTGCTGCTGGATTTGGTTGGCCAGTATTTTATTGAGGATTTTTGCATCAATGTTTATCAGGGATATAGGCTTGAAATTTTTTTGGTGTTGTGTCTCTGACAGGTTTTGGTATCAGGATGATGCTGGCTTCATAAAATGAGTTAGGGTGGAGTCCCTCTTTTTCTGTTGTTTGGAATAGTTTCAGAAGGAATGGTACCAGCACCTCTTTGTACCTCTGGAAGAATTCATCTGTGAATCTGTCTTGACCTGGGCTTTTTTTGGTTGGTAGGCAATTAATTACTGCCTCAATTTCAGAACTTGTTATTGGTCTCTTCAGAGATTCGACCTCTTCCTGGTTTAGTTTTGGGAGGGTGTATGTGTCCAGGAAGTTATCCATTTCCTCTGATTTTCTAGTTTATTTGTATAGAGGTGCTTATAGTATTCTCTAATGGTAGTTTGTATTTCTGTGGGATGAGTGACGATATGCCTTTCCTCATTTTTTATTGTGTCTATTTGATTCTTCTCTCTTTTCTTCTTTATTAGTCTGGCTAGCAGTCTATCTATTTTGTTAATCTTTTCAAAAAATCACCTACTGGATTCACTGATTTTTTGAAGGGATTTTTGTGTCTCTATCTCTTTCAGTTCTGCTCTGATCTTAGTTATTTCTTGTCTTCTGCTAGCTTTTGAATTAGTTTGCTCTCGCTTCTCTAGTTCTTTAATTGTGATGTTAGTGTGTTGATTTTAGATCTTTCATGCTTCCTCTTGTGGGCATTTAGTGCTATAAATTTCCCTCTAAACACTGCTTTAGCTGGGTCCCAGAGATTCTGGTACATTGTATCTTTGTTCTCATTGGTTTCAAAGAACTTATTTATTTCTGCCTTAATTTCATTATTTACCCAGTAGTCATTCAGGAGCAGCTTGTTCAGTTTTCATGTACTTGAGCAGTTTTGAAGAGTTTCTTAATCCTGAGTTCTAATTTGATTGCACTGTGGTCTGGGAGACTGTTTGTTCTGATTTCCATTCTTTTGTATTTGCTGAAGAGTGTTTTACTTCCAATAATATGGTCAGTTTTAGAATAAGTGTGATGTGGTGCTGAGAAGAATGTATATTCTGTTGATTTGGGGTGGAGATTTATGTAGATGTCCATTAGATCCACTTGGTCCAGAGCTGAGTTCAAGTTCTGAATATCCTTGTTAATTTTCTGTCTCATTGATCTGTCAAATATTGACAGTGAGGTGTTAAAGTCTCCAGCTATTATTGTGCGGGAGTCTAAGTCTCTTTGTAGGTCTCTAAGAACTTGCTTTATGAATCTGGGTGCTCCTGTATTGGGTGAATATATATTTAGGATAGTTAGCTCTTCTCGTTGCATTGATACCTTTACCATTAGGTAATCCTCTTCTTTGTCTTTTTTGATGTTTGTTGGTTTAAAGTCTGTTTTATAACACACTAGGGGTGCAACCACTATTTTTTTTTCTTTCCATTTGATTGGTAAATATTCCTGCATCCCTTTATTTTGAGACCTTGGTGAGTCTTTGCACATGAGATGCGTCTCCTGACTACAGCACACCAATGGGTCTTGAGTCTTGATCTAATTTGTCAGTCTCTGTGTTTTAATTGGGGCATTTAGCCTGTTTACATTTAAGGTTAACATTGTTATGTATAAATTTGATCCTGTCATTATGATGTTAGCTGATTGTTGTGCCCATTAGTTGATGTAGTTTCTTCATACTGTTGATGATCTTTACAATTTGGTATGTTTTTGCAGTGGCTGGTACTGGTTTTTCCTTTCCATATTTAGTGCTTCCCTCAGAAGCTCTTGTAAGGCAGGCCTGGTGGTGCAAAAAATCTCAGTATTTGCTTGTCTGTAAAGGTTTTTATTTATCCTTTGCTTATGAAGTTTAGTTTGGCTGGATATGAAATTCTGGGTTGAAAATTCTTTTCTTTAAGAATATTGAATATTGGCCCCCACTCTCTTCTGGCTTGTAGGGTTTCTGCAGAGAGATCTGCTGATAGTCTGATGGGCTTCCCTTTACGGGTAAACCGACCTTTCTCTCTGGCTGCCCTTAACATTTTTTCATTCATTTCAACCTTGGTGAATCTGAAGATTATGTGTCTTGCAGTTGCTCTTCCCGAGGAGTATCTCTGTATTTCCTGAATTTGAATGTTGGCCTGTCTTGCTAGGTTGGGAAAGTTCTCCTGGATAATATCCTGAAGAGTGTTTTCCAACTTGGTTCCATTCTCCCCATCACTTTCAGGTACACCAGTCAAACGAAGGTTTGGTCTTATCACATACTCCAATATTTCTTGGAGGCTTTGTTCATTCCTTTCATTCTTTTTTCTCTAATCTTGTGTTCACACTTTATTTCATTAAATTGGTCTTGAATCTCTGATATCCTTTCTTCCACTTGTTCAATTCAACTATTGATATTTGTGTATGCGTCACGAAGTTGTTGTGCTGTGTTTTACAGCTCCATCAGGTAATTTATGTTCTTCTTTAAACTGGTTATTCTAGTTAGCAATTCGTCTAACCTTTTTTCAAGGTTCTTAGCTTCCCTGCATTGGGTTAGAACACGCTCCTTTGCCTCAGAGGAGTTTGTTATTACCCACCTTCTGATGCCTCCTTCTGTCAGTTCGTCAAACTCATTTTCCGTCCAGTTTTGTTCCCCTTGCTGATGAGGAGTTGTGATCCTTTAGAGGAGAAGAGGTGTTCTGGTTTTGGGAATTTTAAGCCCTTTTGAACTGGTTTATCCTCATCTTTGTGGATTTATCTACCTTTGGTCTTTGATGTTGGTGACCTTCAGATGGGGTTTCTGTGTGGACGTCCTTTTTGTTGATGTTGATACTATTCCTTTCTGTTTGTTAGTTTTCCTTCTAAAAGTCAGGCCTCTCAGCTGCAGGTCTGCTGAGTTTGCTGGAGATCCACTCTAGATCCTATTTGCCTGGGTATCACCAGCAGAGACTGCAGAACAGCAAAGATTGCTGCCTGCTTCTTCTTCTGATTCGTCCTAGAGGGGCACCTGCCAGATGCCTGCTGGAGCACTCCTGTATGAGGAGTCTGTCAACCCCTGTTGGGAGGTGTCTCCCAGTCAGGAGGCATGGGGGCCAGGGACCCACTGGAAGAGGCGGTCTGTCCCTTAGCAGCGTGGAGCGCTGTGTTGGGAGATCTGCTCATCTCTTCAGAGCCAGCAGGCAGGAATGTTTAAGTCTGCTGAAGCTGTGTCCACAGCCACCCCTTCCCCCAAGTGCTCTGTCCCAGGGAGATGGGGGTTTTATCTATAAGCCCCTGACTGGGACAGTTGCCTTTTTTTCCGAGATGCCCTGCATAGCGAGGAGGAATCTAGAAAGGCAGTCTAGCTACAGCAGCTTTGCTGAGCTGTGGTGGGCTCCGGCCAGTTTGAACTTCCAGGTGACTCTGTTTACACTGTGAGGGGAAAACTGCCTTCTCAAGCCTCAGTAATGGCAAACGCCCATCCGCCCACCAAGCTCGAGCATCCCAGGTCAACTTCAGACTGCTGTCCGGGCAGCAAGAATCTCAAGCCAGTGGATTTTAGCTTGCTGGGCTCCGTAGGGGGGGATCCATTGAGCTAGACCACTTGGCTCCCTGCCTTCAGCCCCCTTTCCAGGGGAGTGAAAGGTGCTCTCTCGCTGGCGTTCCAGGTGCCACAGGAGTATAAAAAAAAAAAAACAACTCTTGCAGCTAGCTTGGTGTCTGCCCAAATGGCCCGGTTTTGTGGTTGAAACCCAGGGTCCTGGTGGTGTAGGAACCCGAGGGAATCTCCTGGTCTGCGGGTTTTGAAGACCGTGGGAAAAGTGTAGTATCTGGGCCAGAGTGCACCTTTCCTCAGGGCACAGTCTCTCACCGGGCACAGTCCCTCACGGCCTCCCTTGGCTAGGGGAGGGAGTTCCCTGACCCACTGGACTTCCTGGGGGAGGTGACACCCCACCCTGCTTCAACTCGCCCTCCGTGGGCTGCACCCACTGTCTAACCAGTCCCAATGAGATGACTCTCAGTTCGAAATGCTGACATCGGCGAACGCAGGAGGCCATGGCCGCCACCGCCACTGCCTCCGAGGCCGGGCGCAGAAGAGCCGCCGCTGTGAGCGGCGCAGTCCCGGCCCCCGCCGCCGCCCGAGGAGAACGGGAGGGCGGGCGAGAGAGCCGGGGAGTTGCGGAGCCCGCCCGCCGCCGGCAGCACCGCTCCCCAGGGAGGGAGTCCACAGCCTGAGGTTATATCTTAAGTGTGGTGCTGCTAACATTGCCCAGGCAACATCTGGTTCAGCTTTATCTATATTTTTTGACTGCTCTGCTTTTCTATACTGGACATCAAATTTCCAGGGACTACGTTCGGAGTGAACTGCAGTTTGCCTATGAGGGACCAATGTATTTAGAACCTCTCTCTATGAATCGGTTTACCACAGCCTTAATAGGTCAGTTGGTGGTGTGTACTTTATGCTCCTGTGTCATGAAAACAAAGCAGATTTGGCTGTTTTCAGCTCACGTGCTTCCTCTGCTAGCACGACTCTGCCTGGTTCCTTTGGAGACAATTGTTATCATCAATAAATTTGCTATGATTTTTACTGGATTGGAAGTTCTCTATTTTCTTGGGTCTAATCTTTTGCTACCTTATAACCTTGCTAAATCTGCATACAGAGAATTGGTTCAGGTAGTGGAGGTATATGGCCTTCTCACCTTGGGAATGTCCTTGCGGAATCAACTGGTAGTCCCTGTTCTTTTCATGGTTTTCTGGCTCATCTTATTTGCTCTTCAGATTTACTCCTATTTCAGTACTCGAGATCAGCCGGCATCACGTGAGAGGCTTCTTTTCCTTTTTCTGACAAGTATTGCAGAATGCTGCAGCACTCCTTACTCTCTTTTGGGTTTGGTCTTCACGGTTTCTTTTGTTGCCTTGGGTGTTCTCACACTCTGCGAGTTTTACTTGCAGGGTTATCGAGCTTTCAGGAATGATCCTGCCATGAATTGGAGCATGACAGAAGGAGTAACGCTGTTAATCCTGGCAGTGCAGACTGGGCTGATAGAACTGCAGGTTGTTCATCGGGCATTCCTGCTCAGTATTATCCTTTTCATTGTTGCAGCTTCTATCCTACAGTCTATGTTAGAAATTGCAGATCCTATTGTTTTGGCACTGGGAGCATCCAGAGACAAGAGCTTGTGGAAACACTTCCGTGCTGTGCGACTTTGTTTATTTTTATTGGTATTCCCTGCTCATATGGCTTATATGATTTGCAAGTTTTTCCACCTGGATTTTTGGCTTCTTATCATTATTTCCAGCAGCATTCTTACCTCTCTTCAGGTTCTGGGAACACTTTTTATTTATGTCTGATTTATGGTTGAGGAATTCAGAAAAGAGCCGGTGGAAAACATGGATGATGTCATCTACTATGTGAATGGCACTTACCACCTGCTGGAGTTTCTTGCGGCCGTCTGTATGGTGGCCTATTGCGTCTCAGAGACCATCTTTGGAGAATGGACAGTGATGGGCTCAATGATCATCCATTCATTCCTACTATAACGTGTGGCTTCAGGCCCAGCTGGGGTGGAAGAGCTTTCTTCTCCACAGGGATGCTGTGAATAAGATTAAATCGTTACCCATTGCTACGAAAGAGCAGCTTGAGAAACACAATGATATTTGTGCCATCTGTTATCAGGTAACTCCTTCGATAAGAATCTGTTTGGGACATGAAATCTGCTGTGATCACGCCTTGCGTTCATTTTTTCCATGCAGGCTGTCTTAAGAAATGGCTGTATGTCCAGGAGACCTGCCCTCTGTGCCACTACCACCTGAAAAACTCCTCCCAGCTTCCAGGATTAGGAACTGAGCCAGTTCTACAGCCTCATGCTGGAGCTGAGCAAAACATCATGTTTCAGGAAGGAACTGAACCCCCAGGCCAAGAGCATACTCCAGGGACCAGGATACAGGAAGGTTCTAGGGACAATAATGAGCGCATCGCCAGACAACCAGATAGCCAGGAAGGGGCTTTTGACCCCAAAGAATATCTTCACAGTGCAAAAGATGAAGCACATCCTGTTGAATCAGCCTAGAGGAGAAGCAGCAGGAATGATGCTTTCATACTCTGGAGGAGAAGTTAACTCAAGATGGAATTCATGTTCTGATTTGAGGAATGAAAATGAGATGATCAGGCAGGAAACTGACATTCCAAGGATCTAATCCAGGAAGTACTCTCAGTGGGGACCACCTGCTTTCATCCCCTGACATTGTGGGAGAAAGACAAATAGGAAGCTCTTCTATTAGGGCAATGTAGAGCTTGTGCTTTACTTATGTGACAGATATAGATATTTTGAATATTTTAAAATTAGGTATGATATTCTACCAAACACTATATATAGTGTTTATATATATATAACAAAATAAACACTATATATATATTATATATAATAAAATAAACACTGTATATACCAAACACTATATATAGTGTTTATATATATAACAAAATAAACACTATATATATTATATATAATAAACTATATATATACCAAACACTATATATAATGTTTATATATATATAAAACAAAATAACACTATATAATTCTATTGGTATAATTAATATATATGTAAGACAAAATAAACACTATATATAGAGTATATATATATATGTAACAAAATTTTGTGATACCTTGAAATTTAAGGTTGAATATTTGTATACATTCCAAGATAAATCTTGGTGAACATCATAAAATTAATTCTAATATTTTTTGTGCAAGATGATCACTTTCAAACTAGGTTTGACAACAGAGACCAGATGTATCTTTCCACCAGAAATACTTGTAAAACATAGTGAAATTTCTTAAATTCAATTTTATGATGTGTGACAACAGGTAACAAGGACAGTAATTGCTGAGAGGTGGGAAATAAACAAAAGGAGTCCTCTGATGAATGCACGCTCAGATGCTTCCTTAAGGGAGTTTCCAGGCACAGTGCTGAAGTGGAACCAGGTAGAACTGAAGTTGAGGAAAAAGAGCTGAGACTGACCATGGACTTGTCCTGGCCAATTTCCGGAGGCTGTGCACTGTGTGTCTTTCTGCCCCTGCACAAAGCCGTTTTCGTGTACAGAGCCAGATTGTAATTCGTCTAGTTCTCATGTCCTCACCCAAAAGCAAATATGAAATGCATGTAACGTTTGTGTTTGCTTATTACACATGAGAGCCTGCCTGTCATGTGACTATCAATAGGTCCTTCTATAGCCTGCTGAGTGTGTACGCTTGGCCAATCCATTCGCATGAATTCATTTCTTGTCTTTCCCTCTCTTGAAGTGCCTGCTCACAGTCTCTGTGGGAGGCTTTGCTTTCCAGCCTGTTAAGATGGCCGTCCTGCAGCTCCAACCCTTTTTCAGAAATAAAATCTCCTTTCTAAATTGATAGATTGGGTGATTCTTCCATTGAAAGCACAAGCTGGTGCGAAGAGTTACATGGTAATTCCATAAATGCCTGGAGGAGAAGCAGGGAAAGGGTAGGGTAAGAACTGGGGGCCACACACCTCACACTTTTATGGAATTTCCCTCCAAAAGCTTCTGGGTTCTCAAGACGAGAATTCAAACAGATGCCCTCATGGCTCTGTCATCAGGAGAACTATTTTCTGATAAATATGCCCAGAACTTTCTCCAGACAGACCCTACAAAGAAAAAATACTTTTCAAGATCTTTATTCTATGTGAGAGGAAGGGATTCTTTTCCATCCCAGACAGCTTCATCTTAGCCTTCCCGTGTCATGAAAAGGGGTATAATTAATAAACAACTGGGGTCAGATTCAAGACAATAATCTGTGTATGCTACAGCCAGGAGGTGGAGTAGAGGACGGAGGAAAATCAGCTGTATGACTGGAGACTCCTTGTAAAGGGTACAGCCTAAAGAAAGCACAGCAAGAAATCATTGAACATATACTGCTCCCCTGCCCACCATATCACCTGCTCACTAGGATTAAGATGGATTAAAGAGAAAAGTTTTGCAAGGCACATGCTCTGTCTAAGGACTAGAACTTAGGGAAACCAAAGGCACTGGGAGAGAACAAGTCAAGTACAGTGAAGTGATTTAAAGCCTCTGAAAGCAACAGCTTCAGGACCAAGATCACGGCCCCTCCCTCAATGACCTTAGATTTTCCTCTCGTGGGGCGTCTGCAGGGCTCTCAGGTGAGAATTGGCAAAGACAATGTGAAGGCACTTTCCAAATCTCCAATAGTACTGAGCTTGCTTTAGCTCTGCTTGGAAAAAACAAACAACAAAACAACAAACATAAGCAGGACTAGGGTCAGAGTCGGAAGCACTTTTCATTGGCAAGACACTAGGAAGGAGGGCAAATTTGAGGTTTGTTACTGTGCAAATATTCCACTGTGAGTGTGGGGGCAGGGGCTTTGAGAAACAGGGTCTGTGCATAAAGTTCTAATCTGATATAATCTTCAACCACAGAATCCTAAAAAAAAGAGGCTGCCCCAAAGTCCCCATCAGTTCCTGCACTTGCCATGTGTCTGGAGGTATCAGTGCATATGGAGCTCCAGGGGAGGGGCCCCCTGGTGGCTTTAGTGATTCCTTGCTTGCTGCGCTGAAGTATCCCAATAGATTGCTGGGTTTTCTAAGGCCTATTCCTATTGTAAGAGGTGGTGTGAGAAGCAATTGCTGTCACTGAGGGAACATTCTGAGCCAGGACACATCCACTTCATACTGGGCTTGAGATGCTTGGAGAAAAATGCTCTGTGAGCCAGCTGGGATTACAAGTGTGTGGTGTCACACCCGGCTCACTTTGTATTTTTAGTAGAGATGGGGTTTCACCATGCTGGCCAGGCTGGTTTCGAACTCCTGACCTCAGGTGATCCACCCGCCTCTGCATCCCAATGCGCTGGGATTACAGGCGTGAGCCATCAGGCCTGGCCTGGAATAGTTAATATTTGCTATGTAAACCTCCACGTGATGCAAATATGAAACAAATGCCCACGTGCAATGTCTGTCCCATAATCATTCTGTGAACACATGAATAGCACTGAGTATGCACAGGGCTTGATTCCTTCTTGACCCTGGGTCTGGTTTCCTTTAAGGTAACCTTGAGTCAATGAGCCATTAGTAGAGGGTGGTATTCTACAGCCGAGTAGGCAGAAAAATAGACTGATCTTCTTTTGAGTTACAAATAAATACACTTTGAAATAGTAGAAATTCTTATAAATGAGCCGTAATCATATGAAAAAATGATGTGGTAGAACTTCTTTGGTGTCTGTGGCTGTTAAAGACAACGTGATTTTTACTAAAAACCAAGATAATTTTAAAAAATCTGTGAGGGATGAATATTCTTCGCCATTCACCAAGTTTGTAATCGGACGTCTTCCATAAGCTGCCCTTGAAAAAGTCACCAGTACAATTTTGTCTTTGTCAAAGTTGATTGCAGTAGCATGCTATTTGCTTATTCATATCTAGAGTCAAAATAAAGTAGCAATTCCCAAAGTGCAACAGAAGCTCTTCTAATTTCAACATGAAAATTACTGAAGTATTTGTTTAAACTGATGTCTTCTATTGTTTTCCTTTTCCATCTTCAAAGAAGACCCAGGGCTGAAGCCAGCAGCCCTGCCTGTGCCCTGCCTGCACCCTGCCCTTCCTCATGCCCAAGGCTGACAATGCCTTTGTTTCCCAGCATCTATGTTATGTTGAGGTATTTCTATGCATATAATACCTTGTTCAGAAGCTTTTGAATTCTTTTCTATGAAAATTTCCTGGTTTTACCTTAATAATAAAAATAGTAACATGAACACCTCAAGTCTGTTGTAAGCCTCAATTAGGATAAGGTGGTCCTAGGGAAATGGAGGCTTTAGAGAAATGTGCGTATGGGTAATGTAGTCACCATCTGGGACAGTGCTTCTCAAAGTGAGGTCCTTGCATCGACAGCATCTACATCATCTAGAAATAGGTTAGACACAGAAACCAGGAACTCCGGGGGAAGGCTCAGGTGTAGGCAGCTTCACAAGCTCCTTCGGGGATTCTTTGCAGGCTCTAGTTTAAGAACCATTGATCTAAGAAAATGGAGACTGGTTTTGGTGTAATATCAGCCTTACTAGTAATTTAAGCCTTATTTGGGGCAGTGGCTCTCAACTGTGAGCAATTTTGCCCAGTAAGGGTCATGGGCAAGGACTGGAGATGAATTTGTTTGCCACAGTTGGGCAGGTGGGCAGAGGCTCCCCAAACCGAGGAGTCAAAGAATTCTCCAGCCCAAACTGTCAATAATGAGAGGGCTAAGAAACCCTGATCTAGAATAATGTGGGTGTAGGATAATTTAAGCCCCATCAGGTCCTAGGTAGGGTAAATGAGGCCGTAGTTAAGGTAACATAGGCCTCATCTAGTTTGACGTAGATTTCTTCACAGTAACTTGTGCCTTACTGTGTAGGTACTGGGTCTTCCTTCAAAGCTTATCTAGGAAGACCCCTCTTTAGGGAAATTCACAAGGTGAGAGGTTCCTGTCTAGTCTCGGTGCCCTCTGTGAGGCCTCCTCTGCTTCTGGAAGCCTGGCTGCTCCAATCTCTTTCTAGGTGGCTGGGGCAGCCGCTCGACATTCACGCCACCTTGTGGCCACCGGTGCCACAGCGGGTACATCGCCTTCTTTGGGTCCCCTCATCATAATTGTTTATCAATAATGATTGATAAGAGTAACACCCGACCCTTGTAGGATCCATGTGTTTCTTGGCAAGTGTTTTATAGAGAGTGGTTATTTATGAAAGGAAGTCACCGGTAGAATGATTTTGAGACTTTTATAAGTAAATGACCTGCCGTTGCTCCCTTTTTTAAAAATGTATAAATAGAATGATAATAAAACTCATTGCATTATATTTCCACCAGGAATGTGTGATAGTTTCCATTAAATATATGACATCCTTGCTTCTCTCATACAGAAATGTATGCTTGCCAATATTTGGTATTTTTCTGGGTGGTTATTTGGGTAATTTTGGCTATGTTAATGGGTATGTAGTAGTATCTCATTATGATTTTAATTTGCATTTCCAGAGAACTAATTATGCTGAGAATCTTTCATGTGCTTATTGGCCTTTTTTTATCTTCTTTTGTGAAATGTCTGTTCAAAAAGACTATTTTATCTAGTTTTTTACAACTAAAATTGTGTGTATAATTATAGATTCATTTCACATGCAGTTGTAAGAAATTTCCCTTTGTATAAACTTTGGACCCCTATCTCTCTCTACCTCCTTGTAAGGCCAATAACTCTTGGATTTGCCACTTGAAGGGTATTTTCTAGATCTTCTAGGCCTGCTTCATTCTATTTCATTTTTTTCCTTTTGTCTCCTTTGACTAGGAGGTATTTTCAATTAGCCTGTCTTCAAGGTCACTAAATCTTTTTTTTTTTTTTCTAAAGACAAAGTCTTGCTCTGTCACCCGGGCTAGAGAACAGTGGCCCAATCTCAGCTCACTGCAACGTCCGCCATCTGGGTTCAAGTGATTCTCGTGTTTCAGCCTCCCTAGTACCTGGGATTACAGGTGCCCATCACCATACCTGGCTAATTTTTGTATTTGTAGTAGAGATGAGGTTTCACCATGTTGGCCAGGGAAGTCTTGAACTCCTGACCTCAGGTGATCTGCTAGCCTCAGCCTCCCAAAATGCTGGTATTACATGCGTGAGTCACCAGGCCTGGCCCCAAGCTCACTAATTCCTTCTTCTTCATGATCAATTCTGCTATTAAGAGATTCAGATGCATTCTTTAGTATGTCAGTTGCATTTTTTAACTCCAGAATTTCTGCTTGATTTTTAAAAATTATTTCAATCTCTTTGTTAAATGTGTTTGCTAGGATCCTAAATTGCTTCCCTGTGTTATATTGAATTTCATTGAGTTTCCTCAAAACAGCTATTTTGAATTCTCTGAAAGATCACATACCTCTGTCTTTCTGGAATTGGCTCCTGGTGACTTATTTATTTGACGAGGCCATATTTTCCTGGAGAGTCTTGATGCTTGTGGATGTTTGGTAGTGTCTGGGCATTGAAGAGTTAGGCAGTGTCATCTTTGCAGTTGGGCTTTTTTGTACCCATCCTTTCTGGGAAAGCTTTCCAGGTATTCCAAGGGACTTGGGTGTTGCAGTCTAAGCCATATCTGTATTAGGGGGCACCCCAAACCCAGTAACACTGTGATTCTTGCAGACTCAGAGAAGTACTGCCTTGATGGTCTTGGATAAGGGCCAGAAGAATTCTCTGGATTTATATTTTGCAATTTAAACTTATCACCATTTAATTTCATATAATATGATACCCATTCACGTATATTGTAAAAACCTTGCAACAATATATTTCTATCTCCTCCTCCCATCTTTTGTGCTACTGTCATTCTTAGGAAAAACCCGAACTGTTTCTCCTCTGCGTCCACACCAACACAACAGCAATCTACACAGCAGACTTCTGAGACCCTGAGTATGTGGGGGCTTTCTCCTCACCAGCAAGCAGGCAGTCACCTCTGCAGTGGGCACCAGCTGGACGTCCTCCAGTTCAATTCCAACTCTATCTACCCAGAGCTGGCATCAGATCCCACAAAGAGAGGGCCCGTTCTGCAAGGCTGCCACTTCCCCACCCCCAGACACCAGTCATAAGTCCAGGCTTCTGGAATTTCTAATCAACTGGCTTCAAGCTGGGCTTCCCACAATCCCCTCTATGGGTTTGATTAATTTGCTGGAGTGGCTCACAGAACTCAGGGAAATGCTTATGTTGTTTACCAGTTTATTATGAAGGACATTTTAAAGGATACGGATGGACAGCCATATGAAGAGATACACACAGGATGAGGTCTGGAAGATTTTGAAGGGTCCCAGGTGCAGGAGCTTGTGTCCATGTGGATTCAGGGAGCACCACCCTCTCAGCACGTGAATGAGTTCTTCACCTTTTAGTCACCCTTCATGTGTTCAGCTCTCCAGAAGCTTCCAAACCCTGTCCTCTTGGGTCTTTATATGGGGAATTTGTTGGATAGGCCTGATTGAAGCATGGGTGACTGTGGAAATGTGATTGGACAAAATGGGTTCTAAACCCAGCAAGGCCTGTGTGTTCAGATTCTTCTTGGCCTCTCTGTGTAGCCTTCCTTCCTCCAGGTTATGAGACAAAACCCTCTTTGGAATGAGGGTCTCATGACCCACAGAATCCAGCCATGGGCGGGGGAAAGAAGGGCAGGAGAAGGTGTGAGAGAGAGATTCTGTTTACTGTCACAAGGGCTATGAGAGTTATGAACAAGGAACTGTGGATGAAAACATATATGTATATGTTTCAATGACATGCCACAGCCATACTTTCATACAGTTTGTTTCTACATACGTCCTAAACACCATCATGCTTTGTTATTTTTGCTTAAACTGTAAATTATTTCATAAAAAATTATGAAAAGCAAGATAAAAGTATTTTATATTTACCTGTATGTTTACCTTTTCCAGGATTAATTCTTTAGTGTTTGGTAACGTGTTTTCCTTGTCTAGTGATTTACATCGATTTTTGAAGGGATAAGACCAGTTGCCTGGGTAAAAATTTCACTTTCTGGATTTGCTTAATAATTTTGATATTCTTATTCCTCTATTGACTATTCTAGAGCTGGGAGAATACATCAGACATCTGTTGTACATAGAGTCATCATGAAATAGTAATTTATGTGCAAATGCCAGCTTTTCAAAAGTTGATGCCAATTTGTGTAAGTTTATGGTAGAATTTGCTAATCTATTTGTTTCAGAAAGATTTGGGAAATCAGATAGTGATCTCATTAAATCTTAGTATAGCATGACATATATTAGACCCTAAATAAATGCCGCTAAGATCAGTTTTATGATGAGAAGAAACAACGGCTTGGTTGGGCTCCATAAGGAATTTTGATTTTGTTCCCCATCATTGACATTCCCACCTGTAGAATAAGTGCTTAGCTTTCACACCTGTTTCCTTTTAGCATTCTAAATCAGAACCTCAGAAGCAAAATTAGGCTCCAGTTTTGGTTTAGAGTTTATCTTAGTAAACACAAAATATTGGTGTCAACATCACCATAAAGGAACATGTTTTAATTGCCATTAACATGAGAGAATAAGATGAATTCAGTTCCTTCTTTGAACAAACTTTCCCCAGGTGTGTGCCTTGCTAGGATCTACCCCAGACAAGGAGGGCACAAAGAAGCCATGATCTCTGCCATTTCTCCTGGACACTCATAGGCCAGTGCAAAGAAAGACACTTGCAAGCAAAAGACTCCAGTATAGTGAGATGAGCTTGATTTTAGAGGTATTACAAAGAATGCTGGCTTCACCAGGAAAATAAGGATTAGCTCTGGCTGTGCCTGAGCAAGGAGGTCACCAGAGAAGAAGAGATGACTGGGTTGACTTTTGAAGCTTTGAAGATGACTGGGTTGAAGTTTCGAAGAGATGACTGGGTAGGAGTTCAGTATGAAGGGAAGGTTATTCCAGGTAAAAGGACCAGCATTTGTAAAAGCAAAGAGCAACTGCTTTCAACTGGGGATGATTTTTCAGGGCACATTTGGTAATGTCCAAAGGTGTTTTGTTATCAAAACTGGGGGGTGGGTATGCTATTGGCACGTGGTGGGTAGAGGCCAGGTTTGCTGCTAACATCCTACAGCACACAGGCCAGGCCCCTACAACACAGCTCTCCAGCCCCGAGCATAAATAATACGGAGATTGAGAGACCCCGATGGGAGGCATGAAGCAGTGTGGCTTGTTCTGAAAACTGTGTTTTGTGTGGTTGGAGTGAAGTGTGCGGTGGATTGGTGAGGAAGGAGAATCCAAGGAAAACTGGAGGACCTGAGACCCAACAAATGGACTGGATGCTGAAGCTGCTGCTCCATGGCTCGAATCTCACCCCGAAGGAGACAGGAGCCACAGCAGTCCTTTTGGAGAACCAATATCAGCAGCACTCACATACGGAAAGATTACCCTGGCAGTAATGCCTAGATGGATGGCAGAGCAGGGAGGCGGCTGCAGTAATTCAGGGCAGAAATGGGGAGGGCTTTAAAGAAGAACAGTGAGACTTAGTGATCCTCTGACTGCAAGGAAGATGAAGGCACAGATGGCCGCTGAGTTCCTCGCGTGATGGCTGGGTGACTGTCCTCACTCACTGAGGCCAGAAACACAGCACAGAGGAGCAGGCTTCTGGAGAAAGGTGCTGAGCTTGAAAGGTGAAAGACATCTTGAGAATGAATAATATATCTAAGATAGCCCATGTGTGGACAACAGGGCCAGGAGGAAAATTCAGGGCTCTGCTGTTCTCTCTGTCGCAGTAAATGACCAGAAACTTCATAACAAAAGATTCACTGGGAAAACCCAGAGGAAGTTACAGCCAAGCAAAATGCAGCTTGCTTTCGGCTTCCTCATCCCCTTTTCAGAGACTTGCCTGGTGCTCCCAAGTCTCAACAGCGCTAGTGGGAATGCAGCCAAACAATAAGGCTATTTTTTCTATACCATGTTGTTTCATTCTTTGGCTACTGTAATCTATATTATCAATTCTCTGAATTTTTTCCGTGCAAAGGAGAAATAAGTTGTTAATAAGTCAATGGACAACAAAGTTGACATTAACTCTCTGCAAAACTACAAATGTGAGTCCACATACTCATGAGCGTTGTGGGTGGACAGGCTGTGCTGCCTCTACGGGGCCCTCCTGCTTCGGCTCAAGGGCCAAGGAAGAGTACACCCCAGGGAAGACTTCACCTGGCCCAGGGTCCAGGGTTTCAGGCATGTGGATGCGATGTAGGAGCGGTAAGACCATTCAGGTCTCACTCAACTCCACTTCTCCTTCCTCCCCGCTCTGTGACACCTTCCTGTCCTCCTCACTCCTTCCAGAACAACAGAAAATGAGAAGGTTTCAGGTGATCTGTTTAGGAACCAACCACCTTGCTTTACAATGGCTTCTGTAGGGGGGTTCAAGGTCTGTGTGTCTAAATGTAGTCCAATGGTCCAATTAACCAGAGAAAACATAGAACTGATCAATTGCAAGGCAAAGTTGGCATGTAGACATACACAGTTACTCTTGGTACAAAGCTATTTCTGAGCATAATGATAGCCAAGGCCATGAGGGATACTATGTGTTTAAATATGTGCATTGATAAGAAGCATAAAGCTAACTGATTCCTCGTGAGAGAAAAAGAAAAGTGAAATCTGAAAAATGTCTTTGTGTAAGTCATGTAGCAACCACCTTGCAGTGACAACCCTGAGCTCACACAGGCTGCTGTCCCTGCTGGCTCTTCAATGGAAGAGGAAGGCAGTGTGGCAAGCCAGAGCTCAGTACTGGCTTCCAGAAGTGGAGGTCGATGTCTTTATGATGTTCTTGCCTCTGGCGGGGATAAAGTCTGGAATACCTGGAGGGAGAATGGATGTCCATTAAGATAGTAATACTTGTGATCTGCAAGTCTCTTGACAGCTTACGATCCTGCTCTCTGCAAAATGTTTCCACGCTTATCATTCATGTTCCAAATCCCTGTTTGGTGGTGCATTTTCTCTCGTGGAAATTCCATTATCACAAATGGAAACCATTTGCCTATGGCTTCCACCCACCAGTGACTTGACTACAGACAAATACGTTACCCATGTTTTTATTTATTTCTGTGTTCTTGGTGCTCTGGCATCTGGGGCCTCTCTGGCTGGGGAAAGACTGCTCCTCCCAGGGCCAGCTAATTCTTAGAGGTGATAAACACGCCTTTCACAAGCAAATTAACTGCTCCTATAGGCTCCCCCCTCCACTACCTTCTTTATGTGGCTCTTATCCTGCAGGAATATTGATTCCCTCACCTGGTCACCCCAGGGCCAGGCACCGGACGGCTTGGGGTGGCTCCCACATCACACCCATTCCCCTGCTCCCTGGGGACAATGTCACCCTAACCCACCCTCCCGCCCTCTCAGCTCCTGCCACATCCAGTTGGGCATTGGGTCTTTCTAGTTTTGCTGTTTTTAGGTCAAAACTATCAGTTTTTTATATCCTTTTTTTTTTTTTTTTCTGAGACGGAGTCTTACTCTGTCACCCAGGCTGGAGTGCAGTGGCATGATCTTGGCTCACTGCAACCTCTGCCATCCAAATTCAAGCAATTCTCCCGCCTCAGCCTCCCGAGTAGCTGGGATTACAGGCACCTGCACTGAGTCCGGCTAATTTTTTGTATTTTTAGTAGAGACGGGGTTTCATCATCTCAGCCAGGCTGGTCTGGAACTGCTGACCTCGTGATCCACCCGCCTTGGCCTCCCAAAGTGCTGGGATTATAGGCATGAGCCACCGCACCCGGCCAGTTTTTTATATTCTTAAATATATTTCAAAGTTTTGTTTTCTCTCCTGAACCAGGTCACCTGTCTCTTGCCCTGCTCAGCACATCTTTCGTCTGAACTCAGATAATGCCTCCTCCCTCTGGAAAGTCTGTCACCCCCTCCTTATACCGAAGTGAGTAGCTTCTCAGTACCAAATAGAGGACTTTGGGGACATGACTTCTTCCCATGTCTCCTTTTGAAACTCCTAGTGTTCTTCTATCCAACAAAGATTTCCTTATATCGACATAGTCCTCACTTCGCATAGTAGTCTGTGACTATAAGAACGACCATGCAAGCCAAAACTATAAAGTGATCTTAATAATCAGTGGAGAAAATCATGAGTGTTCTGCAACCTTTGAATTTTTTTATCCACACGTTAACATGTCTCTTACCATTGCATATTGTCTTCATATGAACACATGAAAACGAAACTCAGGAAAACTGATATTTATTTCA
Source organism: Homo sapiens (assembly GCF_000001405.40). Taxonomy (NCBI): domain Eukaryota; kingdom Metazoa; phylum Chordata; class Mammalia; order Primates; family Hominidae; genus Homo; species Homo sapiens. The sequence goes on from NT_187604.1 coordinate 29,718, forward strand.
TATATTGTAATTTAAAATCTTTAGACACACTGATAGTTCAAGCTTATTTCTTTATAAAAATGTATTAAAAGCCAGGCTTGGTGGCCCCTAGCCTGGCTTGGTGCACCTCCTGACCAGTGCAATGTCAGCACCCACAGAGGCAGCACCACAGTGCCCTTTCCTGGAGGTCTGAATGGTACTTCCGAGGCTGTCACTCTTCCTTTCTTTCCTGCACTTTCCTCTTTGTTGGCCAATCCACTCTTCCAGTTTTTATCTTTGTAACATTCCGAGTGGTTTTATTACTAGGAATCTAAGAAGCAAGATGACTACACGTGGTGTTGTCTGTACAGGAACCGAGCTGTGCATGCGGAGGGAAGGGCCCTGCAGATTCTGAAGGGAGTGGTGTGGTTGGTCACTGATCGCCACGTGCTCCTGGTGTTCATGTAGAGGCTGGTGGGCAGAGGTGCTAGGAGCGACGTGTGCACTTTGAAGGCACAGTGATAACTGGAGTTTGAACTGTTATGTAAATAAACTGTGAGCATTCAGTGCAGTGAAATCTCTCTAAGAATCCCCTTCATGTCCAACCAACAGCCCCCGGGCTGCATGCAGCCCAGGACAGCTTTGAATGAGGCCCAACAAACATTTGTAAGCTTTCTTAAAACATTATGAGGTATTTTTTGTCATTTTTTTTCTTTAGCTCATCAGCTTTTGTTAGTGTTAATGTATTTTATGTGCAGTCCAAGACAGTTCTTCTTCCAGTGTGGCCCAGGAAAGCCAAAAGATTGGACACTCCTGATAAAGTGTTTTGCTGGCATCACTGGGCGCTGTGAGAATCGGAGCCTGCAGAGTGAGGACTGCCCAGGGGTGTGGCATCTGCACAGTTACAGCTGAAAATGCCGTTTCCCACAGTGGGGTTTACTGTCCACTGGGGAAAGTGATGAGAAAAGTTCACCATGTAACTTTATTCTCAGGTGCGACTAAATCCCGGACACATCCTGCTGTTCTGACACAGCTTCACCTCATGCTCTCACTGGGGCTGCATGGACCTTGAACCCTGCCCCGTCAGCTTCTCCATTCCTCCTGGTTTGTCATGAGTCAAGTCTGATGGCCTCATCCACAAAACCGATCCTCTTCTCTTTCCACTTGTCCTTCCTCATCTCAGTCCTCGGAGCCCGTGCTGCCCCTGCCTCTGCACTTCGCAGATTAGTGAAAACTGCCATTTCTGGATCTTTCCAGTTAGACATAAAGTTCCACAAGGTCCAGAACTGCCGTAGAATCCTCATTTATAGACTCTGACTTTGCCATCTTTCCCTTAATACTATAGATGGCACCAGCATTGACCCAGCTACTCATTCAGGGAAGCCACTCAAGAAATGGATGACAAATTCCGTTGCGGCTTCTGCCATGGGACTAGTCCCCGATTCCTTTCCCCATTGCTGTTGCTTTAGTGAAGGCGGTCATCTCTTTTTCAGGTCTCTGGTTCTGGCTTCCCCTTCAGCCACCGTCCACTCTTCTGAAGCATTGCTTCTTTGACATAAGTCTGATACAGCACATTCAGGCCTTACATGGATCACTTTACAGACTCCCCAGTAGCCACAGCAGGATCTTCAAGGAGGGTGTGTACAGCCCAGGGAATGCCCAAGATCTTTTAAAGTGTGGAAAGGAAATTGTGAAAACTCTAATTACACTGATTTTCACCTAAATAAGAATTTTTTAAAACAATACTAGTGTTAGCTTAGTACATGATAGTATATGTATCTAATGCACGCTCATGTACAAATGAGTTACGATGTTCAAAATATGTTTACTGCTTGAGTTACCCCAAAAGCGTAAGGCAAAACTAGAACTAAAATAGGCATACCTTACAGTAACTTGTTTAGATTTGCAACAATAAACATAGTAGGAATCACATCCCAAATGTGTTTTCCATGTCCCTGTTTCCGAACCCCCAAAGTGCTGAGAAATGCACAATTACAGGTATCAGTGTCATTCAAGGACGTGGCTGGGGGTCCGCCAGGAGGATTGGCAGCGCTTGGGCCCTGTTCAGAGGACCCTGTACCGCGATGTGATGCTGGACAACTGGAGACACCTCATCTCGGCACGAGCGGACTTGACGGCATGCATTTTCTTTTTTTTCGAGACACAGTCTCACTCTGTCACCCAGGCTGGAGTGCAGTGGTGTGATCTCAGCTCACTGCAATCTCTGCCCCCCAGGTTGAAGTGATTCTCATGCCTCAGCCTCCCGAATACCTGGGATAACAGGCATGCACCATCACACATGGCTAATTTTTTTGTGTTTTTAGTTGAGACGGGGTTTCTCCGTGTTGGCCAGGCTGGTCTCAAACTCCTGACCTCAGGTGACCCGTCCACCTCGGCCTCCCAAAGTGCTGGGATTACAGGCATGAGCTACCACACCCGGCTGCATTTCCTTTTTAATTGCAATGCATGTAGACCCTCTCCTGAGCTCAGGGCTGTTCAGTCCCGCGGATTCCCCCTGCATGGCCTGGGGTTCTCCTCCTCGGGGTATGAGTCTGTCTATGTGGCTAATAAGCCAGTGCTCATCTCCTCTGTCAAGTGTCGTGCGTGTGTGTGCAGCCATCCCCCTAGGCCTAGGGCAGAAACCCTGCTGACCCAGTGGGGTAAAGGGGAGGCACCTAAAACACTCTTCCCACAGTAGCCACAGTGAGTCTGAAAAACCTCACACCATGCGCTCTCCTGAAAGCCCTCCTGTGGCTGTTCCTCTCACACGGCAGAGACAACTCCCTCGCCCACATCCAGGGGGCTGCACACAGGCTGGCCCTGTTACCCCGACTTCAGCCCTCTCCGCTCACTTTCATTGACACTTGAGCCACAGGTCCTTCCTCCTGGGAAATAGCGGGCCACTCTGCTCTCCAGGCATTTATCCCTGCTGTCACCCCGGCCTGACATTCCCTTTCCACACACAGCCATGCTCTCCAGGCATTTATCCCTGCTGTCACCCCCGCCTGACATTCCCTTTCCACACACAGCCACGTCACCATCCTCACTCCCTTCAGAACCATATCCCAATGTCAGCCTTACATAGCTCTTGCCATCACTTTCTCGAGCCCCTAGCTGGCACTCCATGTCCCTCGTCCTGCCCTTCACCTGCTCCACTTTCCTCCATGGAACTCCCTGATGATGTGCCACGTGCTCTACTCATTCATTTTGCTTTTTTCCTCTGTCTGCCCAGCTGGAGAGAATTTTGTGCTCAGCAAAAATGTTTGTGGCTCGCAAAGGGTGTGGCCGTGTTCTAGCCTCCCTGCCCCACTGGGACCGCGTGTCTCCCTTTGCCCCTCCCCTGTCTGCTGTGGGTGCAGAAGGCTGTCCTTCGTGTGTTGACTCAGTCTGCCCTGGGGCTGGGCCCAGAAAGCCCCAAGCCCAGAAGCCATTTTCACTGCCAGTGTGGACTTGGTGGATGAGCTCAGCTACCAGAACCCTGCTGGATCATCTCCAAGAGCCAATCATCTCAGGGACCCTGAAGTCGACTGTGGAACAGCTGCCAACACAGCTTTGAAATGCTCAGCAATATGAAGAGTGCTGACAGCCCCTGCCTGCTGAGGCACACGGGGCTATGGTATTTCACTTCTATTATAGTAACATGACTTTAGTTGAGGATGGGATGAAAGAATAAAGATGCAGCCTGGGCAATATAGTGAGCCCCCATTTCTACAAAGAATAAAAAATTTATCCAGGCAAGGTGCACCTGTAGTCCCAGCAACTCTGGAGACTGATGGAGGATGGCTTGAACTTGGGAGGTCAAGGATGTAGTGAGCTGTGATCATGCCACTGCACTCCAACCTGGGTGCCAGAGAAAGACTGTCTCAAAAAAAAAAAAAGAGAAAGAGAGAATAAAAAAAGATTAATTCATCATCTTGGACATAAACAATATTTTCTTGAGTGTTACTCAGATGTGTTTTTACTTCCTGCCCTTCCAAGAAAAATACTGGTAATGGCTCTGCCTCTTTCAGCTTGGAGAAGACAGCCAGGCCAGTGAATATGGAACTGTTAGGCCTGAGCAGGCATAAAGGAAATCTCCATTGTGCAGTGTTTTCAGCATAGTTAGTTTGGGATGAGTAAAGGTGTGTGGGGTAATTGCCATGCTTTTTGGCAATCGGGCATGCAAATGGGAAGGTCACAAATCACCCAGTCATACCACTTTGGACAAAGAAATCGGGAGTGTGCATTTCTTTTTCTTCTTATTTTTGCTTTGTTAGAAGTGAGTGTTCACTTTATCTCTGAAGGCATGTGATTGTTATGAAGTCAGCAGTGATGATAGCTCTTTACCCCAAACTGCCAAGGCCAGGGATTACATCAATCATCTATATCCTGAACATGGTGCCTAGCATTCGGCTGGAGCTCAGCGAGTATTTGTTGAATGAATGAATCAATCCCATTTCGCCTTCTTGCCAGCTCTGGTCTGGGTGGTCGGTACTTTCCTTTTTGAGTACTGCACGGACCCAGGTTTCTGGAGTCTGGACTCAACGGCTTATGTGGGAGCAGCCTCTTCCATTCTGCAGTGGGGATTACTATCCAGAGCCAGGTACAGGCCCCAGAGGAGGGTGCACTGGGGCCACAGGCCCAAGGCCATCCAGTTCCCTTTGCCCAGCTGGGGTCTTGTGGAAGAAGAAAGCCAGTGTCCTGAAATTATTCCTTCCTCACTGCCATCTATACTGGAAATAATCCCAAGGGATTTAGAATAAGCAAAATCAAATTCTGTCATTTCTAAATTTTCTAAGATGAACACGTATAGCTTTTATACACAGAAAAACCATATTAAAACACAAACACACGGCCGGGCGTGGTGGCTGATGCCTGTAATCCCAGCACTTTGGGAGGCCGAGGCGGGTGGATCAGGAGGTCAGGAGATCGAGACCATCCTGGCTAACACGGTAAAACCCCGTTTCTACTAAAAAATACAAAAAAGTTAGCCGGGTGTTGTGGCGGGCGCCTGTAGTCCCAGCTACTCGAGAGGCTGAGGCAGGAGAATGGCGTGAACCCAGGAGGCAGAGCTTGCAGTGAGCCGAGATGGCGCCACTGCACTCCAGCCTGGGCGACAGAGCGAGACTCCGTCTCAAAACAAAAACAAAAACAAAAACAAAACACAAACACACATACAACCTCGCTGGGTCTTGAGAAAGCTTGTCACTGGGGAGGTTAATGGAAATTGTACACTTTTCTCTGTTAGCTAGTTAAAAGTCTTTAAAAATCCTGCCTCAATTTAACCTTGGGAAATGGAACTTTATAGGTGGTTCAGGAATGTGAAGATTCACACATCACAAAATATTTAAATGTATTTGACGTGTGATAAACATGTAAATATCATAGTGCTGTGACTTTGCTTATGAGTTATATATTTCTAATCATTTTAATGTTATCACGATTTTTTAAAAAGTTCTTTTATATGATAGTTATTATTTGGGGTTACTGTGTAAGAAAGCCATTTAGCCACCAGAGGGCGATGTGACACAGCAGAAAGTAGGTCTCTGTTCGGCTGAAACCTTTACTTTTCAAAACGGGAAATCACCAGCCTGGCCAACATGGTGAAACCTAAAAAAAATACAAACATTAGCCGGGCGCGGTGGCGGACACCTGTAATCCCAGCTACTCAGGAGGCTGAGGCAAGAGAATCGCTTGAACTGGGGAGGCGAAGGTTGCAGTGAGCCGAGATTGTGCCACTGCACTCCAGCCTGGGCGACAGAGCGAGACTTCGTCTCAAAACAAACCAAAACCAAACCAAAACAAAACAAAATAAAACACAACAAAACGAGAACTCAAAATGGAATTCTAAGGAAGTGGTCACTTTTATATATGTCCATGTTAAAGTTCTAGAGCTGTTGATAAATATAAAAACAATAATGGTAAGTTATTCCAGTAGGAGATGTTCATTATTTTCTTTATTAATGCTTAATGTTTTTCAGTTCATATTTCAAATATATGTATTCTATATGAAATTTTCATAAAATGGAGAATGGCATGCTATCTAAAATGTAAAAAACACATATACATGTATATATACCCAGATATATAGATTTTGCTGTTGCAATTATAGAAGAAAACAATGACCTCTGTGCCATTAAAAAAGCGTTTGATTTTTCCACATTTTTTTCTCTTTTCCTTAGGGACTCAGAGTTGCAATGAAGTGGTTTTTGAAGGTTCTGTCTTGTAATATTGTTCTGCTGTATAGAAACTCAAAAAGACTTTGTAACAATAGACCTTATTAGAATTAACTTACCTGTATTTTTACTTTATTTTTGCGGAAGACCAGAGTTTCATTATTATTCAAATCAGACTTCTTGAGCATTTGTTTTGTTTTGTTTTAAGATGGAGCCTCGCACTATTGCCTGGGCTGGAGTGCAATGGTGTGATCTCAGCTCACTGCAACTTCTGCCTCCAGGGTTCAAGCGATTCTCCTGCCTCAGCCTTCCAAGTAGCTGGGATTACAGGTGCCCGCCACCACGCTTAGCTGTTTTTTTGTATTTTTAGTAGAGACGGTGTTTCATTATGTTGGCCAGGCTGCTCTCCAAATCCTCACCTCGTGATCCGCCCGCCTCGGCCTCCCAAAGTGCTGGAATTACAGGCGTAAGCCACCGTGCTCAGCTTAAGTTTTTAGAGACAATTTGACGGGTAGGGGCTAGAGAAGTGGGGAGTGCTGATTGATCAAGTTGGAGATGGAATCATAGGGGGTCGAAGTGAGGTTTCCTTGCTATCTTCTGTTCCTGGGTAGGATCTCAGAACTGATTGAGCCAGATTACCAGTCTAGGCGGTGTCAGCTGATCCATCGAGTGCAGGGTCTGCAAATTCCTTCCCGAGGTTAGTTCGGCCTATGCCCAGGAATGAACAAGGACAGCTTAAAGGTTAGAAGCAAGATGGAGTCGGTTAGGTCTGATCTCTTTCACTGTCATTATTTTCTCAGTTATAATTTTTGCAAAGGCTGTTTCAATCCCTCCCTTAGGGTTTCATAGCACCTTATTCTTAAGGTGTGGGCTATGAAGATGGGAAAAGGCCGTCGATCACTCTGGATTCTTCCTGCAGACAGGGGGCATAGTGGGGTAGGTGTTGACCCCAAGGTGAGAGGAGTGGAACTGCTTTGCAGCTGTCTGAGCTGTTTGAGTGTACTCACGCAAGCCAGGCTGAGCTTCCAAGGCTTTCATGACAAAGGCATTCGTATTCTCATCTACAGTTTTAGTACGACATTTACACAAACAGTGTACAATAAGGTAAGTAATGAGTTCCGGAACAAGGAGTGCCATTCCCAGTTTTAAAAGTAAAGACTTAAAAGCATTAGTTTGAGCACTTGTAGCCTCCCAAAATTTAGGATTCAGTCTAAATGGCAGAAAAAAAAATCCTCAAAAACAACTAACAACAGGTGTACTGTAGTTTTTGAAACAATTTTTTCTCTCTTCAGTTCTTATTTTTATTAAAAACAAATCCTGATAGGACCGATTTTGTTTGTGAAATAAACTTTAATTTTATTATACTTGGCATGATTATTTGCAAAGAGCACAGCAAGAATAATTATTTTTCACATGGGCCTTTTAAGTTGGCTTTGATGGAACTCTGCATAAAGAGTCTTAGATAGACTTTTTTTAAAGCCCATCCCAGCCATGGGTTTGTACCCTCAAATGCCTATGAGTTGGGTACATTCCCCTCTTCTTGAGATCCCAAGATAACTTAAGATTCCGGGGCCTTTTGGAAAGTGACATTCTTTACTTACCATACGTTAGGAACCCTGTACAGGGACTGCGTAGACAAGGTATGAGGCCAGTTTACCCTAGGGGTTTTTATTGGCTTTGTAAATCAAGTTTGATTCCTTAAACAAAAGCATGCCATCCCAGTCAAAACCTTAGTAAAATAAACAGTTTCTCCAATTGTGTCCTGTTGCAAAAGAAAACATTCTTATTGCACTTATGCAAATAATTATGTTGCCATAAATTAAAAATACTTGCAAATAGCTTCCAGATTCTTGAGAAATCAGGTAGAGAGAAACAAACATGCTCCAAATTTTGTTCACAGGAGTATATTTTTCTCAGTTGTTAAAAGCTGTAATCAAAAGAAAAGTTTTCTTGGCTCTCTGAAAAATGAAAAGGAACAGCCACATTTTAAGCAAAAAAAAAAAGGAAAAGATTAGTTCAGTTTTCTATTAGTTCATTCCATTCAGTAAACTCTTGTTCTGCTTAATGTTCCTGAACAAGTCAGCTCTCCATGAGAGTCCTGAACGTTTTTTCCTTTATTCTAATGTTGCAATCTCCAAAGCTATCAGAAACTTGCATTCAAGAGCACCCATCCAAGTTTCATAGCTGATTATAAAACAAGAAAATGTTTAACCTCTGTGGCACACAATAATTTAATGTATCAATTATAATTATTACTGATAACATATGCTAAGGCATATCAAACTTATAAGAATCTTATACAGTTTTGAAACACATGCTAATAAAGTATTTATGTGAATATAACCCAAAGAAAGTTAAACATCATTTTATATTTGGCCATGTTTTCTGCATGATTTTAATACATTAAATAAGCAGATTATATCTTTTTGGACTGTAGGGGACCTATTTTTGTTTAACTTCTAATTTGATCTTGTCAGGTTTGTCAAATATGGTTTAAAACACTGGATGTCACAAAATAGAATGCCAGGTCACCATAAGTCAGTTATTTAGCCAAAATGATAACTCACAAAGTTTTAAAAAGGAAAAAACCTTTAGTTTGATAGAAAAGAGACTCAGCTTCTCAAACTACAAGACCCAGTGAAGCCGTCCCCTGAATTGGTCACTTCTCTCTCCCCTCCCTTAAAAGGCAAACAAAATTTTTTCATTGCTTCTCAATATTACACAAGAATCTTTTTCAAAAGAGAAAACCAAATTTCATGTTTGCATTATTGCACCTTTAATGCTAAAGCTAGTTTTTATTAAAATTTTATAAATCTATCCAGCTTTAATTAGTTTGACCATAAGTTAATGTTCTTATAAACCTTTTATAACCCTTTACAATTTAGTTGTTGTTGTTACAGAGCAGAACCATGTTTTAAGAAAACTCTGTTATGCTTTTATTCCAATGTTCAACTTATGGAAACATTGACTAATACCCCTTTAACTTTAGCCAATATGTTTACACACAGAATCTCTTTTACAATTAATTTTTTATAAACTTTTCACAACTTGCTTAAACCTTTAGGCCGGGCGCGGTGGCTCACGCCTGTAATCCCAGCACTTTGGGAGGCTGAGGCGGGCGGATCACGAGGTCAGGAGATCGAGACCATCCCGGCTAAAATGGTGAAACCCCGTCTCTACTAAAAATACAAAAAATTAGCCAGGCGTAGTGGCGGGAACCTGTAGTCCCAGCTACTTGGGAGGCTGAGGCAGGAGAATGGCGTGAACCCGGGAGGCGGAGCTTGCAGTGAGCCGAGATTGCGCCACTGCACTCCAGCCTGGGCGACAGAGCGAGACTCCATCTCAAAAAACAAAAAACAAAACAAAACAAAAAAAAACCTTTAGACTTTTCCTGTCTCACTTAAAACAATAACCCTCTAAACTTGGGAAAGAAATCCATATTCCCAGGTCTTCTTATAATCTTTTACCAAAAGTACATTCTACTTTTCTTACATGCCTTGAATGTGGAAATGTTTCTTCAGTAGCCTCAATACATGTTACACTGTTAACTCTGTGCAACTTCTATTTTTGGTGAAAAACCTGGTTAGTAGGACATTTTAATTATGTACCAAGTGTGGAGCTTAGGACAGACAAAGGACAGAAGTGCAGATCAAGTCTGACTTTTTCCAGCATAGCTATGGGATGTGGCTATCTCCACATATGCCCAGCACTTACCTAGCAGTAACGCAGGTAAGTGTATAGTTAAGAGTCACAGTGGCGTTTGTGAAGCATTTAGGCAGCCTAATAACCTTTAAATTGTACAACGTTTCTTGCATAAATTCCCTTTCATGAATCCTTTCATGGCTTAGACCATCTATTACATGCTTGGACAACGGTCATTTCAACAACCAGTCATTTCACTTTAGGACAAAAATTTACCATACAAGATCCTTTCTTATACAAAATCTCTTTTCTTTTTAACCTTCTTTGAGCAGCTAGGGGGCTAATTTCACATGTCACCGGGCCTTATCTAGAAAGTAATGACTCCAAGCTAGGTAAATTGAACAATTTTTAAAAGTTAAAGAAGCAGTTTATGATCTTAAAGCATTTAGCAAACCTAACATCAGACCCAATTTAGACCAAATGTCTAAATTTTGAAGACATTTTATTTTACCAATTTTTTTTTTGAGACGAAATCTCACTCTGTCACCCGGGCTGAAGTGCAGTGGCGCAGTCTCAGCTCACTGCAAGCTCCGCCTCCAGGGTTCACGTCATTCTCCTGCCTCAGCCTCCCGAGTAGCTGGGAATACAGGTGCTCACCACCACGCCTGGCTAATTTTTTTGTATTTTTAGTAGATATGGGGTTTCACCGTGTTAGCCAGGATGGCCTTGATCTCCTGACCTCATGATCTGCCCAGCTCAGCCTCCCAAAGTGCTGGGATTACAGGTGTGAGCCACTGTGCCCAGCCTATTTTATCAATAATTTTTAATCTGTCTTTATTACCAAAAGATTACTAAAGTTAGGTGAACTAAAGGGCATTAGTTTTAATTTTACTGACAAAATATTTGACTTAAGTGCCTACTTTTCTTTAAACCAATTAATTAGAGCTTTTATGTAAACATCACACACAAAACATATATAAATACATAGACAGACAGAAGATCCAGTAGTTGTAAGATTTTTCATTTGCCAGTTCTTAAGTTTCCTAGTGGGATTACTAGATTCAGGCTGGAGCCCTTTGAAAAATAGGGCTGGGAAAGCATGCAATTTCTAGGGCCTAATAAGCAGGCACAGCTGGAAGGCAAAAACAGATCCCCCAAATTAAGGGTGCCATTTTATATGGGATCCTGGATTCCCCCCAAAAAGAGGGAAATACTACAGAAGAAGCTAGTGCAGTGCTTCTACCCTGCATTTTATTGCAAGACAATCCAAAGCCAATCAGCCCATTTTGTAATCAGCCCATCCCCCATGGGATTCTCATCTCTCAGTGGGGGATAGGGATGTTTTCATACCTTCTAGGTGGTCAAGAGTGTGCTTCTCTGATCCAAGCATGCAAGGAGCCAAGTATTCCTCCTAATTGCCATTAGCAGTCCCTTATAGTGTATTTCCTATCTGGTTATTATAAACCATGGCTAAAAGCTCTCCCATAATGTGAAGCAATTTCTGATATACCCAAAAGTAAAAAAAAAAAACAAAAAAAGTCAGGTAACATAATGTAAAATTGAAAATTGAACCGAGACTTAGATTTTGAGGGAGATCTATCAACTTTCAGCTCCTGGGGTTTCATGAGGAAAATGGAGGTTTTTCCCAGAATGGGGTCTGTGATGCCTCCTCTGTTTTTCCCTATGAGTCCCAGGCTGTTAGAATTTATCTAGGTTCTCTCAGGTGTGCTTTAAGCATGGCAAGAAGAAAAAATGGAGAAAATCAATTCAGAAGAAAAGAACTTATTCCAGAAAGACATGAATCTAGAAGAGGAAAAGATAAAGGCCTTTTAAATAGATATAGTTTGGGTACTTTTATTTATTTATTTATTTAATTTTAAGATGTGGTCTATGTTTTCCAGGCTTGTCTCAAACTCCTGCTGAAGCAATCCTCCTGCTTTGGCCTCCTGAAGTACTGGGATTACAGGCATGAAAATAGATATCTAGGGTTACCCCACCCAACCCTGGATGTCTATTTTTAATTAAGCCACTTTTAACCATAGAGCTCTGCTGTTTAAAAAAAAAAAAAAAAACTTTCAAAATCCCTTATTACCAGGCTCTAGTGAGGACACCCCACATTTCTGGCTTTTGAATTCTATACCAGGTAACCTCTCACATGAAATTAATAAGTTTTAACTAAGGTTATAACTTAACCATGAACTCATGATGTGTTTCAAAGAGATGGTAAGTAGTTTTTTTTAAACAAGAGTTAGAATTTCCCCAGGGTAGTTCACAGAAAGGAAAATTCAAGACAGGAAATCAGAAATTATCCATAGAAAGGGGGGAATCCCTCAAAAAATGGCAGTTACACAAATAACAAACAAGAAGGGAATCATTCCCAAAGCCAAGAATTGAACCTGGGGCAGCCACTGTCAAAAGACAAAAGCCTTGGTTATTGAGCTACATCATTCAGCAGGTTCTGTTGCTCTTCCCAGAAGGAGCCTAGAGGTGCCAATTTTGACCTTGCAAAAGCTTCTACCTGCTCAAGATAATTTTTAGTGCTATGACATGAATCCCCAAATTCCTGTCCGCTGAATGGCAGACACCAAGAGAAAGTATCCCCACATGGTCACAAGGTTAAGCTCTCAAGGGCATAAAACGAAAAGATGGAAACTTTATATGGCACTGGTCTTGGGGACCCCCAGCAAAGTTTGTAAATGACCAGCTGCCAGGCTGGCTTGAAAGGCAGGCTTATAGGGGTCCTAAGCCCACCTTCTCTCCTGTGATACCTCTCTCTCCATTAAAGAACAAAGCAGAAAGATAAATTCTTAGCACAAAGTGCTCCAGATTTGCTACAGCCTAAGACTAGTCTCACAAATCCTTTTTTCTATTTGTAGAAAAGAGAAAACAGAGGAGAGAAGACAAACAGTGATATTTACCATTTGCATTCACACGCACACACACAAACACACAGAGGGAGAGGGAGGGAGAGAGACAGGGAGAGAGAGAGAAATATGAGAAACTTGGTTGGTAAGAATTTCTTACCCTTTTTTCGCCAGCATACCAGGTTTCTGGGTTCCCTTTCTCTGCAGCTTTCAGAAGAACAGAGCAGCTTTGATGACCTTGCTCAGTGTAACATAGCTATGGGAGCCAAGTTCCATTACAAAATAAAATTATGCTTTTCTGTTTGATAGAACCATAGGCATAAGCTTCTCAATTTTGCAAGATGCTGCTCAACAGGCTGCATGGGGAATCAAATTAATATTTTCCATCCCAGCCAAAGCAAAATACATGTAGCAAAACAGACGCAAGTCACTTTGTTCAGCACCAGTGTTGACCTGGCAAGGCTCAAACTTTCTCCTGTTGGCCCCTGTTATCTTTGATCCACACCAGGTGGGAATGGATGATCTCCAAATGGTAATTCAGTGTGTAACCTCTAGGCAAGACAACAAACCTGACAAAAACAAGCAATGGGGAAAGGATTTCCTATTTAATAAATGGTGTGAAAACTGGCTAGCTATACACAGAAAACTGAAACTGGATCTTTTCCTTACACCCTATACAAAAACTAACTCAAGATAAAGTAAAGTCTTAAATGTAAAAGCCAAAACTATAAAAACCCTAGAAAAAAATGTAGGCAATACCATTCAGGTCATAGTCATGGGCATATATTTTATGTTGAAATCGCCAAAAGCAATTGTAATAAAAGCAAAAATTGACAAATGGGAACTAATTAAACTAAAGAGTTTCACGCAGCAAAGAAACTATCATCAGAGTGAACAGACAACCTACAGAATGGGAGAAAATTTTTGCAATGTATCCATCTGACAAAGGTCCAATATCCAGAATCTACAGGGAATTTAAGGAAATTTACAAGAAGAAAACAAAAGACCCCATTAAAAAGTGGGCAAAGGACATGAACAAACACTTCTCAAAAGAAGACATAGATGGAGCCAACAAACATAAGGAAAAAAGCTCAACATCACTGATTGTTAGACAAATGGAAATCAAAACCACAATGAGATACCATCACATGCCAGTCAAAATGGCAATTATTAAAAAGTCAAGAAACAACTGATGCTGGTGAGGTTGGGGAGAAATAGAAACAATTTTACACTGTTGGCAGGAATGTAAATTAGTTCAACCATTGTGGCAGACATTATGGCGATTCCTCAAAGATTTAGAATGGGAAATACTATTTGACCCAGCAATCCCATTACTGGGTATGTACCCAAAGAATATAAATTATTCTGTTATAAAGATGAATGCACTTATATATTCATTGCAGCACTATTCACAGAAGCAAAGACATGGAATCAACCCAAATGCCCATCAGTGATAGACTGGATAAAGAAAATGTGGTGCATAGACAACATGGAATATTATGCAGCCATAAAAAAGAATGAGATTATGTCCTTTGCAGGGACATGAATGAAGCTGGAAGCCATTATCCTCAGCAAACTAACACAGGAACAGAAAACCAAACACCACACGTTCTCACTTATAAGTGGGAGCTGACCAAAGGGAACACATGCACACAGGTAGGGGAACAACACACTGTGGGGCCTGTCAGAAGCAGGAGAGAGCATCAGGAAAAATAACTAATGCATACGGGGCTTAATACCTATGTGATGGGTTGATAGGTACAGCAAACCACCATGGCACACATTTACCTATGTAACAAACCTGCACATCCTGCACATGTACCCCGGAAGTTAAAATAAAATAATAAAAAATACACAAAAGATGTGAACAGACATTTCTCAAAAGAAGACATATGAATGGCAAACAGGTATATGAAAAGGTGCTCAACATCAATGATATCAGAGAAAGGTAATCAAAACTACAAGGAGATCTCATCTCGCCCCAGTTAAAATGGCTTTCATCCAAAAGACAGACAATGGCAAATGCTGGCGAGGATGTGAAGGGAACCCTCATACACTGTTGGTGGAAATGTGAGTCAGTACAACTTCTATGGAGAACAGCTAGGAGGTTCCTCAAAAACTAAAACTAGAGCTACCTCATGATCCAGCAATCCCACTGCTGGGTACACACCCAGAAGAAAGGAAATCAGTATATTGAAGGGATACTTGCACTCCCATGTTCCTTCTAGCACTGTTCACAATAGCCAAGATTAGGAATCAACCTAGTGAGTGTCCATCAACAGATGAAAGGATAAAGAAAAGGTGGTACATATAAGCAGTGGAGTGCTCTTCAGCCATAAAAAAACAATGAGAGCCTATCATTTGCAATAGCATGGATAGAACTGGAGGTCATTAAGTGAAATCAGGCAAAGAAAGACTGACAAACATCACATGTTCTCTCTTGTGAGAGCTAAAAATTAAACAGTCAAACTCATGGAGATACAGAGTAGAAGGATGGTTACTAGAGGCTGGGAAGGCACAGGGGGAGAGAGACGGGGATGGTTAATGGATAAAGAAGGTAATTAGAAAGAATGAATAAAACTGGGTATTTGTAGTATTTGACAGCAATAGAATGCCTATAGTCAATAATAATTTAATTGTTCATTTAAAAAATAAGGAGTATAATTGGATGGTTTGTAACACAAAGGAAAAAGGCTTGAGGTGATGGACACCCCATTTACCATGCTGTGATTATTACACACTGCATGCCTGTATGAAAGTATCTCATGTGCCCCATTAACATATACACCTACTGTGTGCCCACAAAAATAAATATTAAACTTTTAAAAAACTATGAAAATTGTAATCAAAATTCACAACGATCAATAAGTACAAAAAATGTAAATTCTATGTCTGAGTTGATGCAGGGCAAGAACATATTAAGGGGGAAAGTTAGAACTGCAAACAAATGAGTTCCTAAGAGCAAGAAACTGGAGAAATAACAGAAACTCCAGGGAGAAGTCTAGATTTAAAGATGCAGGAGATTGAGGGACTGGCACAGAGATCTCCACAAAACCAGGTAACATCTGTGTTCCAGGGAACAGAATAGAAAATGGACCCAGGGCTGTCTCTGACAGGGTGAGCAACTGGAGTGGGAAGGAAAGATCTGGGGGACCCAGGAGGGTGGAGGGACTGGAACTGGGACCTGAAGGAGGGGCTGCGCTTCAGCCTCCTCCTCCCACTGCCCCTCCCCTGCCCCCAGGAGCCCTTGGTGAGGAGGAGGCCCCAGCTCTGTGATGCAGGCCTGGGCTCCAGTCCCTAGTCCCAAAAGCGATGCCCAGGGCTCAGTTGCTTGAAGGCAACATTGCACTTCAGATGGAAAAAATGCTCTTTCCTCTGAAGAGCCCTAGTGCCACGTGGCTGGGCCCCAGCTCCACTCCCTGGATTGTGGATTTCATCCTCACCTCAGTGTGGAGCCTGGGCTTCCTCTTCCTATTAGCCCTCTACCTCCCCAGTGTCCCACCCTCACCCCCGCATGGGAGGAAGAGGAGCAGCAGGAAGGTAAGGAGCCCTCAGCCCAGCCCCACAGAGAAAGATTCTCTCTTCTTTTCCTCCCCTCATTTCCACTTTTCCTAAGTAATGAGAGACTCTCCTGCGATGGGAAATCTCATCATCCCTCTAGGGAAGGGCAGAGCAGGCAGGGGTGGGAGTGGGCAGAGGATTCCATCCTCAGCTCCCAGACTATCTGTGACATGCGCGGGAGGCATCAGGGCAAAACCCAACACTGGACTCAGTGGCGAGGACCAGATCAGGAGAGGGGTGAGGTCTCTGTGGGAGGACAGGCCCCAGCTCTGGCTCATCAGCCCCTTTCCAAGGCAGGTGCCTGGGGGTCCAGGCTCCTCTGTGTGGGGTGATCTGGGAGCTGTGCTGAACCCCTGAGAGCCTCCCGCTAGAGCCTGGATTCACGTCTGGCCTCCTCTGAAGCAGAATCCTACTGGCAGCTCAGAGGTGCCTGTAGGCCTGAGCCTGGGTATGCCTTCAGCGGAGGAGCAGGGACTGGGGATATCCAGGGTGGAGTCACACAGAAAACCCCTGCTTGCATTTCCCTAAGAAGGAAAACAGAAAACATTTCATCAATGGTAAACATGAGTAAAAGAAACGCACGCAGAGCTCCCTGAGCTACAGGCAGAAAGCCGTGTCCTTCAAGAGCACTGCGTGTGTGCAGCTGGTCTGGGAAGAGGAGACTGAGAACTGGTCCCAGCCCCTCACCCTTGCTTGCCTCTCAGCATCAAAGGAAGAGATAGGGGAGGCCCAGGAGCAGGAAGAAGATCCCAGCTCTGAATTGTGAGGCCCTACTAATCCCTGAGACTCCCCAGAGGTGACTGAGCATCGTCTGTCCCTGAGGGAATCATTTGCAGAGGCCTGAGAGGGAAGCTCCTGGGAGGGAAATCAGAACCCGGGGCCTCCTCATATTCCCTGTGGGAATGAAGCCATGGGCCCGGGAACCGGTATTGCCCATAAGGGGGCGCTGTGGGGAAGGGACCAAGGCCTGCCAGGATATGGGGGGAGGTCAGGGAGACCCCAGGTCCATGTGGACAGCTGTTCTCCTCGGCCATGGCTGACTCTTCTTAGAGACCACCCCATCCACTCTCCCCACAAGATGGTTGTGACACCCATGAGGGGTTGTACATGGAAGCACTTTTTGCAAATGACAAAGTTCTGCACAATGCACACCTTGCTGTCACCATTGGGGCCATGTGGCCTTGGACACAGATGCATGGGCTTCAGGGTCTAGTTCCCCATGGTGTCCCCTAAAGAGACATCCACCACTCAGCCTCCCATGAGGTTCGCTGGCACCGCCCTCCCCGCCATAACTCTGTCTCCTTACTTCCAGCTTGCAGAATCCTCCTGAGGGAGCTGGAGGAGACTCAGGACCTGACCAACCTTCTGGAAAGATGAGATTCCCCTTCTCTCCATGTCGTCCTTTCTACCAGGGCCTCTGAGGCAGCCCCAGGGTCCAGTGTTGACCTGGGAGGGGGAGGTCCTGGGAAGAGGCGGGAGTGGACTGAAGCCCTGGGCAGGCACAGACAGAGCTCTGTGAAGCCAGCAGTGGGGGAGGTGGAGGAGCTGTGGGCACCAGGTGCCCAGCCCTCCCGACCTCCCAACCCCACCTGCCCCTGGCTGCAGCTTGTGCCTTGTGCAGCCACCTGAGAAAGCTCACTGGGGAGGGTGGCTCCCATCTGCCCTTAGGTGGAGAGCCCTGGGTGATATGTACAAACCAGCTCCTGCTAAGGCCCACCAGCCGCATAGGAAATGCATGCAAGATCCATCTCCTGACAGCTTGTCCCCAAGGACTCCCCCAGTTCCTCTGGCCTCCAACCTGTCACCAGACACAATGACCTTCTCAGAGCCTTTTGGACCACGCTCAACCCTGAGTGCCTCCAGGCCTCCAGAGCCCTTGCTTCCCCTAAAATGCCCTGCAGTCCGGCCACATATGCTTTTCCTTCTTCACCACAGCCCCATGTTCCCGTGGTCTCCTCTCCACCTCCACCCGAACACAGCCTGGCTGGACTTCAGTGTGGCTCCACAATACGCCCTGTCCCCCAGAGCTCCCCTCTACACAACCAGGGGCCACCTTCTCCAACCAGGGTGATCTCTGGCCTTGGGTGCTCCAGCGGTCCCATCCGGGACCTCTCCCGCTGGAGGGAGGCTGCCACCACCTGGGGCCTCTCCACCTGCTCACAGGGCAAATCCCAGCAACAGCATCTTCCCAACCACCCCCCAGAGGCTTCCTTCTGGGGAGACCCCACACCCAGGCAGATGGAGGCAGGTGGCCGCACATTCTTCCATCCCAACGTGCAGAAGCTGCTGGAGACTCATCTCCAAGAGAGCAGTGATGAAGATGTGGCAGGAGAAAGAATGGGGGTGGGCAGACTACCCGCAGATGACATCACTGGGGAAGGAGTGGGACATCACGACTCTAAATCCCTTCTGGAACGTGGCAAACCTACCACAGAAGCTGCCCCATCCTCAGCAGGTCTCTGACGCCATGGCCATGTGGGACCACTTAGAGCAGAAATGCAGCCATCTCTTCTGGGATCTCCCCTCTTTCAATAGCGAGTCCCTGGTGACCATGGCCTGGGTTTCTAGGAACATTTCCTCACAGAATGAGCACTCTGTACCATCGGATAAAGCCTCCACTTCCCTTCCAGGTGAAACTGAGGTTGAGACACCCTCACAGCTTTCCCAGGCACGGCCCCAGCCCCACCACGTGGCCCAGCCCCAACCTTTCACTCCAACCTGGCCCCAGTCCCAGCCCCCGCCTCTAGCTGGGATCCAGACACAGTGGGGCAAATCTCAACCCCTGTCCCAACCTCTTCTCCACCCCAGATTAGGGTCTGTGGAGCATCTTGCCCTACATCCCAGAAGAGGGCACAGTCTGTCATCCCCACTGGAAAAAAGTATCTTGAGTGGCCCTTGCAGAAATGACCAAAGTGGAAGAGGGTTTTGCCCTCTCTCCTCAAAAAGTCTCAGGCTGTCCTGAGCCAGCCCACTTCCCACCTTCCCCAGGAGAGGCCAGCCTCCCTGAACCCTAAGTCAGCCCCCATCCTTCCCGGGATTGCCACCAGCCCTGAGCTCCCAGAGCACCGGTGGCAAGGAAGGAGTGCCATCCGCCAGGAGCAGTCCCGTGGCCTCCCAGCAGATTCAAGGCACCTGGAGACCTGCTGCAGCCTAAGGGGGAATTCCCAGGGAGGCCCCAGAGTCAGGCAGAAGCCACGCAGGGGGCCCTCTTGCCCTCCCGGGATTCTGAATTTGTAGGAAAGGGCACGAAGGATGTGCAGAAAGCAGGGCTCAGGAGCTCTGGAAGGTTCTCTGGGAAGGGGTGCTTAGGGTCCAAACTAGAGCCAGAACCAGGATCAAGGCTCAGGAAGGACTTCAGTGAAGGTTCTGGAGAAAGACAAGGAGGAAGCAGAAGGTGATTTCAGGAGGCCCTGGAAGTACCAATCAGTAAGTTCTGCACCCAGGGACCCAGAAAAGCAGCATCTGGAAAACAAGCCACAGGTCCATCTGGACAGGAAGGTGGGGGAGATCAAGGAGGGCTGGATCCCTGTGTCTGTGCATCGCTCCTAATTCATGGCCAAACATGCCATTCCCAAGTCTGACACCCACAGGAAATCGAGAAAGGTGACATCCTGGAGGGGTGGGAAAGCCCACGTGAACACCTCCCAGGAGCTGTCCTTCCTCCATCCCTGCACCCAGCAGATGCTGGAAGCACATCTTTTCAAGTTCTGTGTGAGGCACAGGTGGGGTCCAGAACTTCAGTCCTTAGAGCCCATAAATGTCTAGTCAGGGGAGGCTCAGCCTCCACCCCTCCCACACTCCACCATTCTCCCCTGGGCCTCCTGGGAATCTCTGGCTCAATCTGTAGCCAAGGTTGCCATTTTGTCGGGAAAACCTCCCCAGAATGGTCCAGGAGACAATAGAACAACAAGCAAGTCAGCCCCCACCATGAGTGGCCCTGTCCCTGCCCCACCAACTGAGCAGGAGGAAGTCCAGAGGGTCCCAAGAGGGTCCCAGTCAGCTGACACCCATGAGCAATCAGAGGCCTCTCTGACTGGACAGGAGGGCAGGGCATCTTCTCAGTCCCCCATATGCAACCTTGTAGGCAGAACCTGGCAGAGAGGGACTGTCCTGGGGTCCGGGAAACCCAGACTCGAGGGGAGTGTGGGTTCAGAAATGGCTGGGAATGAGGCATGGCTTGAGACTGAGAGCATGTCCCCAGGAGACCCCTGTCATAGCAGAGCCCTGCAAGAGCTCAGCATGGGGTCCCAGTGGGCAAGGGCCAGAGATGCCCTGGAGGCACTGGAGGCCAAGGAGGAAAAGCCCCCTGATTGGAAAGTCACCTTGGGAGCCAGTGTGAGGGCAAGATCAGGAAGTGTTCAGGTGGATCTGAGGAGCACAGGGACTCTGGGGACCACTAGTAACCCCTCAGTGTCTACAATCTGTGTTGCTCAGGATCCAGGGCAGCTGTGCCTGAAAGCACAGGTTGTCAGTGAGATTGCGCTCATAGTGCAGGTGGACTCAGAGGAGCAGCTGCCAGGCCGTGTTTCCAGCATCCTCCTCCAGGAGGGCGCCACAGGCCTGTGCCTTCCAGGCCGCCATGTGGACATGCTCCCAGCCACATACAGGCCACCCACTTAGGCCCCTCTGTCCACCTCCCAGAGTGTGCTCAGTAGGAGGAACACGACAGCTTCCCAGGGGCCATGTGCCCTCCTATGGAAGGGAGGGGACAGACTGGGGCAGCAGGAACCTGGGAGCCCAAAAGTGAAGGCCCCACAGAAGAGTCAGAAGATGCTGGGCTCTTTGGACAAGGGCAAGGCCCACAGGAGGCCCAGACCAGGGGAGCAGGGACACAGGTCCAAAGGACCCAGGACCTCCCAAGCCAGTGGGAGGAGCCACCCTGCCCACACGAGGGAAATAGGAGACAAACAAGAAAGGAAATACAATCAGCCTCAGCCAGAGAAGGGACAGGCACCACCAGAAAGCAACTTCCAGAGAAAGATCAGTCACCGTCCACAGGGTCTACATCCCAGGAAGAGGGGCTCAGGGCAGGAAGACGTCTTGCAGAAAGGCAAGCCTGGGCAGATGCTGTCCAGAGCTGGGGGTCTGGCCCAGCAAGGTTGTTTATGGACAGCATGGCTGATGAAGCCCAGACCATCATCAGAGTTATGGGGCAAATCCTGGTGGACAAACTGGGGATTCAGCAGGGACGTGGTCCCTCAGAGGTCAGTCGCCACAAAGGCGACCTCCACGCCCAGGAGAATGTGCCTTCCTGCTGCCACAGGAGTCACTACTACCAGGAACATAGCAGAGAGATGGGGCTGGTCTGCAGCCCCAAAGCCACCCCCAAGGGCCACAAATGTCCTGTCAAAAACAAGGGCATCAGAGACAGAGACAGCAGTTGGGCCCCCACCTCCCAGGGAGCTTGTGTCCCCAGCTGGTCCCCACCACCACAGGCCATGAGTGGCAAGCACCTCGGGCAGCCCCATCCACAGCTGCAGGAACTGAGGTCTACACAGAGGTGTCTTGCCTCCTGAACCAGACCAGGCTTCCCACACCTCTCCTGGAGGAGACAGGGGGTTCTATCCAAATAACACTGGACGCCTACACAACAAACCTGTCCTGCGTGGGTGACAACAGTCCCCATGTGTTCCTGACTTCCACGGAGAAGTTCCCAATATACCTGTTTTCCCTGCAGAGGTGGTGGCTTCTGTCTGTTCCATGCTAGGCTGCAGGCAAGGGCTCAGTGTCAGCTCCTCCTGAGTGCGGCTTCCAGAATGGCTGGGCCTAGAGGAAGCTGACAGGGACCTGGAGGACCCCCTTTTCTCCCTGTCCCCACACTGTGTCTGGTTTCCAAACTGGATCATGACCCAGAGCCTTCAGGATATGTAAGGACAGCAAACCTTACGGAGATCCCACCCGGGCTCTGGCTCACTGCATTCCCTGTTCTAAGGCGACTTCTGTGCTGCTGTAGGGGATGGGTCTACAGGGGCGTCACGGACTGGGGGGTGGTAGGCTCCCCTCAGGCTGGAGGAGTGATGGATCCCAGCAGCCTCCCTGCCTCACAGTAGCCTGGGAATGTAGGGGGTGTCTTGTGCTGGCCCTGGGTCAGAGGGGGGACTGCTCTTTCTGGGATCTCCTGGTGGGGAAGAGATGACACCCTCCCCAGACCCTTTCCTGACTGCTGAGTTCCGGATCTGGGATGGACCTGGGCCCCTCCAGCACTTGGCTCAGGCTTGATAACACCCCTGGGTTCATGTCTGGTGTCCCCTGCCTCACTCTCCAGGGCAGTCTCCCAGCCCACTAGTGTGGGGTGTCTGTTTCAGGAGGCACCTAGGGCTGCTGCCTGCCCCTCTGGCAGGACTCTGTGGTCAGGAATCACAGGAGGAGACCTTGGGGCCCAGGGTGAGAGGTGGGAGAAGAATCAGGGAAGACGAGCATAAGTTTGCAAGTGCAGGATCCACAAGCTGCCCACAGCTGTAACCAGGGTCCTTGCAGTCTGGTGACCATTACAAGCAAAAGTGGTCAGTGCCACTGCCAGGGGAGGGGGACCCAGAAGGCAAGGGCTGGCCTGGGTTACAAAGCACATCTATGGTTCCAGGCCCAGGTGCTGGCAAGGGACACATTGGGGCTCAGAGAATCTGGTCACATGGTTGGCAGGGACAGTCCCCACAGGGCCCAGTCCTGCACTCCCTTCGTCCTGGTACTGGGTCCTTCCTGGCCATCCCCAGGGAAGGCAGGAGCAAGGGCAGGGCAGGCAGGAGCCAGTTCCTCAGAGGGCTCTGCCCAGGGGCCTTCTGCCCAGGGAGAGCTCTGCACCTGCAGGGGCTGCGGAGGCTGAGGACAAGGTGTCAGGTCTGTACCCAGGCCTGGCGGGACCCACACCGGGGACCTGTTTCGAACACGCCCTGGTGTCACTTTGGGTGTCCAGGCTACTGTTGGAGCCAAGTCCTGTCTGGGGTGGTGACCTGGGCAGCTCCAGTGTGGGCCCAACATCTATGGGACCCAGGATCCTGTGACCTGCAGCAGAGGAACCCCACAGGGACCCCCGGTAGACCCCAACACGCAAAGATTCCCACAAAGACCCCACATTCATTGAGATTTCAGAGATTCCCCACAGTGACCCCCAGAGACCCCAACACTGAGACCCCCCCCATGAAGACCCCCCAGAGGGACCCCCCCACAGAAACCTCTGACAGAGACGCACACGGAGACCCTTCAAAACCAACACAGAGATCCCCACAGAGACACTCACAGTGACTCTAACAGAGACCTGCACAGAGAAAAGATATCAAGGTCACTTTGCCACCCGCTAAAATCCCTAGCACTGCACTTGGTGAAAATGAGCAGCATCTTCCTCATTACCAGCAGCGGCTTTCTCCTGGCGGCCCTCTGCCCTCTTCTAGATAAGATTCCTTGAGATATGAGATGCCGAACAATAGAAAAGCCTCCTCTATCAGACAGCGTCCAACTTAGAGCGACCCCCCGAGCCGCTGACAGACCCTTCCCAAGATCACCCAATCACAACTCCCATGCTGATGTCAAACTGTAAGTGTTCATGATAGAAACGGTGAGAGTTCCTCTGATGCCGTCCTTCGGAGACCGCGCTCAGCTCCTCAGGCCATGCTCCCCCTCAATGCCAAGGGAATCCACCCGGCTGGTCTAGGTTGGCCTTGCTCACAGGGCTCCTCCTGCAGGCCTTGTGCTGGAGCACATGGAGCGGGAAGGATCTCGGCTTGGACACAGCTTCCTCAGAAAACCTTGTCCGACTCCCCTGTGAGGGCAGGCCCCCTGTGCTGGGTTCCCCACCCTGGCCCTTCCTCCCTTGTGACAATCTCTGCATGCCTGGGTATGTTTCTCCTAGAACCCTGAAATCTTCTGGTGGGCCCAATGAGGAGGGAGGTGTGCCTGACCACCTGACCACACTCCCGGTACTGACTGTGGCCCCTGTTAAAAATTGTTTCATAAAATCTTCTTAGTTAATGGGCACAGGAAGTAAAGCTTCCTAATCTACCTCATATATAAGTTGCATCACTAAAATCATATTTTCATAAAGGGTATTAGCTCTTTCCAGTAGCCAATATAATGTTTCAAGGAAAATTTGTAAAAATAAATGTGGCATTGATACTTCAAATTTAGTGGTATAAAGAAATTTCCAAATTCAAATTATTCCATCTAAGTTACTTATTTTATAGATCAAATATGAATATTCTTGTAAGTTTTGAAATACTTCAGAGTAAAATTCTGAAGTTTAGATAATACAAATTAAAAAGCAATTTTTCTTAAAAACATTCTAATGTGCCACAAATTTATTTTTAAAAACTCTTACCAAAGAAGATGTATTTTTAAGTAATTTAAATATACAACTTGCATCAGACACATATATTGTAAATACACCCTTCCAAAAATGAGGAGCAGCTATGTGTTTACTTTAACATCTAAGATGCTGAAATATCTATATAACAGGTCACGTACTTAAAGCCACATGTAAAACAGGGGATTGAGAAATAATTCAGCATGCATATTTGTTCTGTTTGAAATTTTTTTAATTATTGAAAATAATTGAAAATCTTACAAAACATCATCTGTTTGAAAGATGTTAGAAAAGAGAGGGTAGAAAAATAGGACTGCATTCTTATTGCCTAACAGTTTAACCTCAGTTATAAATACACACATATTACACATATCTATGTGTGTATATGTGCATAGGTCTGTATACACATACAGACATGGGTGTGTTGTAACATCATTTGGTTAGTATCACTTGTCCTATTTTTTTTCTTGAATACTCCGTTTTTATTATTCTACAGAGAAGGGCACAACGCAATTGGTCTCTAGACTTGCCCAAGTAACTTTCTCTCTCCAGCAGTTTCTGTCAGTTCTTGGGTTTGGAAATTTCCTTCCTGCTCACCTCCACTGGCAGCGTGTTCACCTCACGTTAGGCCCTCTGGTTCAATGCTCCAAAAGTGTGATGAGCATAAAGAGAATTTTCCTCTCAGGAAAACAATAATGGCTGGATCACTGATACACTATGGGTTCATAAAGAAAGGTGAGTCTATTTGATTTGTCTATTAACCTGGAAGAGCACATTGAACATTTTTTCTTTTTTAGAATAAGTACACGTACACATTGATCTTTTACTGAAAATAAAAAAAAATTAATAGATACATGTAAATAAGAACAAAGGACTTTTATCTAGCCCTAGATCCCAATAACTTCTTTAGAACTCTTTTCCTAAAAGGTTTATAGTACAACCTTTTATATTTAAGTTTGCAAACCATTTCTAGTTAATTAGTGTATAAAGTGCAAGGTTTACACTGAGATTTTGAGCCTGTGTTTATTTTCTCCAGTAACATTTGTTAAAAAGACTAT
The DNA here is from genome assembly GCF_000001405.40 of Homo sapiens. Lineage (NCBI taxonomy): Eukaryota > Metazoa > Chordata > Mammalia > Primates > Hominidae > Homo > Homo sapiens. Next base: position 55,249 of record NT_187604.1, read on the forward strand.
TCTTTCTCTTTCAATTACTTTTGTACCGTTGTCAAAAATGAGAAATGAGTTGGGCATATTTACTTGTGTCAATTTCTGAGTTCTTCATTCTGTTCTGCTGACCTATGTGTCCATCTCTCCACCAGTATCATGTGCCTTTTCATATAAACTTAAAATAGGTTTATCTATATGCATAAAAATATGTAGCTGGTGTTTTGATATGACTGTCATTAAGTCTACCCATCAATTTGAAGAGAGTTGACATATTTGCTATCGTGAGTCTTCCAAACCATTAATAAGGTATGTTTGAATTTTAGTTCTTCTCTCAATTCATGCACATTTTGTAATTTTTGCCATCTTGATTCTGCATGTCTTGTCAGATTTATGCCTAAGTATTTTCTTTAGAGCAATTGTAAAGGTATATTCAGTTTCCACACATTCATTTTTAGTTCATAGAAATATGATGAATTTTGGAGGATGGATCATTATCCTGTGAACTTGCTAAATATTATTTCTACAAGACTTTTTTTAGTTTCTCTGAGACTTTACAAAGACAATCGTGTAATCTGCAATAGAGGCCACTTTCCTTCTTTCTCTTTTTTTTCAATCAGTATGCCTTGTTTCTTGCCCAATTGTGCCGACTAGAACTTTCGGTGCTCTGTCAAATAGCATTGTTGAGAGCAGGTGTCTCTGCCTTGTTTCCACCCTGAGGGGAAAACCATTCATTCTTTCATCATTAAGCATGACATAGCTGTTTGTTTTTGATAAATACTCTTGATAAAGTTCAGGAAGTTTCCTTGTATTTCTAGGTTTCTGAAAGTTTTTATCATAAAACTGTGCTATATTTTGGCAAATGCTCTTTCTGCATCAATTGAGATAAGTAACGTACGTATTTTTGTATCGTGTTTCCGTGTTCAGGTTGATATTCCTTGTATTTTAATTGACACATGTACACAATTTATATTTAAGATAACTGTAGGCCGGGCGCAGTGGCTCAGGCCTGTAATCCCAGCACTTTGGGAGGCTGAGGCAGGTGGATCACGAGGTCAGGAGATCGAGACCATCCTGGCTAACACGGTGAAACCCCGTCTCTACTAAAAATACAAAAACATTAGCCGGGTGTGGTGGCGGGCGCCTGTGGTCCCAGATACTCGGGACACTGAGGCAGGAGAATGGCGTGAACCCGGGAGGTGGAACTTGCAGTGAGCTGAGATCGCGCCACTGCACTCCAGGCTGGGCGACAGAGCGAGACTCCGTCTCAAAAAAAAAAAAAAAAAAATGGAAATACCAGAATGCCACCTTCTTTTGCAATGTGGGAGACAGAAGATTTATCTCCCTTCTTGGCCCCACTGACACCATCCGGCAAGGGAATCAGAGCACTGCTGATTCCTTCCACTCTGTGTAAGTGAAGTGGATCATCAGCTCCACACTTGATTTCACTGAACTATGGTGTTCGCAGGGGGGGTTTCCATTGATGTTTGGCTACACTCAGGTGGGTATTCCTTGCTAGGCCATTATTTTCCAGGTTCTTTGGCTGAGACAGCTGGGGTTTTATTAGGTTTGGTTTTGTTGGGTGTGGTTTCTGGTTGGAGGCTTCTGCAGCACTCTCTCCAGGGCAGATGAGAAGAACAGGAGACCCAAGGAACATACCACTGTGTCATTCCCCAGGGAGTCTGTCTTCCTTATTATATTTTTCCAACACTTCCCATGCTCCTTTGTTGTTTTATGTGCAGACTTTCATTTAGAACACAAAGGATGTGATAGTAATGAGGCTTCTCCAACTGGGCTGAAAACACATGTGTTTTTGTCTTAAAATCATAAGTATTTTAAAATATACTTGAATAGGTTGGTGAGAATCCTGGGGAGAATTAACACATGATTGGGAAAAAAAAAAGAAACATTCTCAACACTACAAGAAAAAGTCATTTCATAACAGTAAAAACTCTAGCTCACATTATCTGCAACTTACTTACTTATTTTTTCTAGCCTGGTGTCAAAATTATCATTTGCCCCTGTGATAAACAAAATTACCAACCAAAGTGGAGTGTTTCTATGCAGCTTGTTTGGTCTTAACCTTAGAGTATCCAATCAAAATACCATTTTCCAAAGTGTCTTTGATCAGTTTCTTTTTCCTCTTGGAATCCTCTGACTTCCTGGTGGATTTTTTTATTATTATTTTTATTTTGCAAAAAATAAGAAAGAGGTTTTGTAGTGTAGCATTTGGTAGGGTTTGAGAAACCATAGAGACACGTGTCCACCCTCCAGCACTGCACAGAACAGCCGCATCACCCTAAAATTCTGTGTGTGATGCCTTTGTGATCAACCCTTCCCTTTCTCCCAATTGTGGGCAAACTCTGATCTGTTTTCTTGACCTATAATTTTGCCTTCTCCGGAATGTTATACGAATGAAATCATACAATATGTAGACATTTGGGGCTGACTTCTTTCACACAGCAAAACACATGTAAGTTCATCTGTACTGTTGTGTAAGTGAATAGTCTGTTCCTTTGTATTGCTGAATAGCAGTTGATGGTATTGATGCAATAGTCTATCTGTTCACCTGTTGTAAGATGTGTTGGTTAGGCTGGGTGCGGTGGCTCATGCCTATAATCCCAGCACTTTGGGAGGCCAAGGCGGGCAGATCATGAGGTCAGGAGTTCGAGACCAGCCTGGCCAACATAGTGAAACCCTGTCTCTATTAAAAATACAAAAAATTAGCCAGGCATGGTGGTGGGTGCCTGTATTCCCAGCTACTTGGGAAGCTGAGGCAGAAGAATTCCTTGAACCTGGGAGGCGGAGGTTGCAGTGAGCCAAGATCGTGACATTGCACTCCAGCCTGGGTGACAGTGCGAGACTCCGTCTCAAAAAAGAAAAAAAAAAAAAAGAAAGATGTCTTGGTTGTTTCCAGGTTTTGGAGATTATGAGTAAAGCTGCTAAAACATTTGCCTAGACTACGGGCTTTTATGTGAATTTGTTTTCATTACACATTGATAAATACATAGGAGTGGAATGGCTGAACCTCACACTGGACATATGTTTTACTTTATAAAAAGCTGCCAAATTATCTCCTAAAGTGACCATGTCATTTTACATTCCCAACAGTAATGAAAGAGAATCTTTGTTGCTACACATCTTCAGGAGCATTTGATATTTTAATTTTTTATTTCTATTCTAATGGCATGTAGTAGTATCCCATTGTAGTTATGTTTTGCATTCCCTTATTAATAACAATAAACATGTTTTCATATGCTTATTTGCCATATGTCTGTCTTCTTTTGAGATGTACGTGCTCAAGATTTTTGCTTGTTTTAAATTGGATTGTTTGTTTTGTATTGTTGAGTTTTAAGGGTTCTTTATTCATTTTGGATAAAAGCTTGTATAAGATACGTGACTGATATGGTCTGACTGTGTCCCCACCCAAATCTCATTTTGAATTGTAGTTCTCATAATCCCTATGTGTTGTGGGAGGGACCTGGCAGAAGGTAGTAGAATCATGGAGGCAGGTTACCCCCATGCTGCTGTTCTCAGATAGTGAGTGAGTTCTCATAAAATCTGATGGTTTTATATAGGGCTTTTCTTCCTTTGCTAAGCACTTCTCTCTCCTGCCACCATGTGAAGAACAACATGTTTGTTTGCCTTCTGCCATGATTGTAAGTTTCCTGAGGCTTTGCCAGCCTCATGGAACTGTGAGTCAATTAAACCTCTTTCCTGGTAAATTACCCAGCCTCAGGCAGTTCTTTATAGCAGCAGCAGAACAGACTAATACAGTGACTTAATATTTTTCCCTGATTGTTTTAGCTTTTTGCTCTGTAATGCTTCTTTCACAGAATGAGCATTTTTAGATATAACAAAGTCTGCTTTTTCATTTTTTCTTTTATGGATCATGTGTATGGTGTTTTATCTAAAAACTCATCAATGACCCCAAAGTCATACCTAATTTCCCCTGTTTTATGATAGTATTTTATTGCTGTATACTTTACACTTTTATATGGTCTATTTCAGTCCACTTTTGTAAAAGGTGTAAAATACGCATTAAGTTTCATTTTTTTTTTACATGGGGAGATCCCATTATTACATCCCCATTTACAGAATAGATTATACTTTCCCCTTTTCCTCTGCATCTTTTTCAAAATGCAGTTGAATATATTTGTGTGGGTCTATTTCTGGGGTCTGTATTCATTCCATTGGTCTACGTATCTAGTGTTTTAACAATATTTTAACAAAACCACAATATTTTGAGAACTGTAGCATAATAGTAAGCCTTGTAATCAGTAGTTTATGTCCTCTAACTTTTTTTCAGAAGTGTTTTGACAATTCTAGTTATTTTGTTTTCCATGTAAATTTTAGAATCTCCTTGGTGATATCTACAAAAAAAAAAAAACTTACAGGAATTTTCATTGTTAATGAAGGAACTCTACAAGCAGAAATGGAAAAGACTGGCATCTTAACTATATTGAGACTCTGAATTCATAAATATTTCATTCCCCTCTTTTTAAATTTTCTATTTATTGCATTTATATTTTGTAGTTTTCAGCATACAGATCCTGCACTTCTATTGTTACATTAATACCTAAGCACTTAATTTTTGCTTCTATTTTAAATAGTAATTTAATTTTTTCAACTGTTAATTACTCACACATAGGAAAATTATTGACATTCTATATTGACCTTTGATAATAAAACACTTAATTTCACGTATTTGTTTTAGAAGCTTTTCATAAATACTGTAGACTGTGTATATAAAGATTAGTTTTATCAGCAAATAGAGGCAGTTTTACTTCTTCCTTTGCAATATGTATGTTATTTATTTCTTATTCCTGTCTTATTGCACTTTGCAAATTTTCTAATACAATATTGAATAGGACCTGTCCCCAGTCTTAAGGAAAAATCATTCAGTCATCACCATATAGTATACAGATATAAACATATATCCTAAGTTCTTTTATTCCTAATTGTATGAGTTTTGGTCAGAAATAGATGTTGGATTTCATCGAATGCTCTTCCTGCATCTCTTGAGAAGAATATTTTAAAAATATTCTATAGCAGATTACTTGGATTGGATTTTAATAGTGAATCAGCCTTGTTTTTATTGGACATAATGAATCATCCTACATGGGGAGATGTTCAATTTGATGTCACAATATTTTGTTGATATTTTTTCATATATGTCCATGACTGATATTTGTCTATAGTCTTCTTTTCTCTCCATATCATTTTTTGGTTTTGGTGTTATTGTAATGCTGGCCTTATAAAATGAGTTGGGAGTGCTCCCATCTCATCTATTTTCTCTAAAAGATTGTGTACAGTCAAAATTATTTATCCTTCAAATATTTGATAGAAATCAGTAGTGAAAGAACATGTGACTAGATTTTTTGGTAGGTTTTATTTACAAATGCAATTTCTTAATTAATACAGGACTATTTGTTACCTGTTTCTTCTTCAGTGAGACTTGGTAGTATGTGTTGTGTCTCTAGAGGAATTTATTTTTTTCATCTCATCTATTAGATTTGTGTGCATAAAATTATTTTTAGCTTTACTTATTTATGGTATAGTGTGTATTGATAGCTTGTCTTTCAGTCCTGCTGTTAGTAATCTGTAGTCTCTCTTCTCTTTCCCTTTTTCTCTCTTTGGTTTTGAATTTCACTTATTTCTGCCCTAATTGTTATTAGCTCCTTTCTTTAGTTCCTTAGATTTAAGTTGTTGTTCTTTCTCTACGTTCCTAAAGAAGAATCTTAGGCTACTGAGGTGAGATTACTCTTTTCAAAGAACCAACTTTTAGCTACGTTTATTTCTTCTACTGCTTTCCAACCTTCTATTTTATTGATTTATGCTCTAATCTTTATTATTTCTTTACTTCTGCTAGCTTCAGATTTAGTTTTCTCTGGTTTTTATACTGCCTTTTAGGTGTAGAGTGAGGTTACTGATTTGAGCTTTTTTTAAATGTAGTTGTTTATGTCCATACATTTTCCTTCAAACTCTACTTTCACTGCAGTCACTAAGTTTTGGTATGTTTTGTTTTTATTTGTCTTAAGATACTTTATAATTTCACTTATGATTTATTCTTTCACTGGTAGTTTAAGAGTGTATTGTTTAATTTCTACATATTTGTGAATTTTTCAGGTTTCATTTTTTATTTATGTTTCCTCCATTGTGGTTGTAAATTATATTTTGTATGATTTAAAACTTTTGTAAATGATTAGGACATATTTTTGTGGACGAAGATATGTCCTATCCTAGAGAAAGTTCCATATCCACTTAAAAGGAATGTATATTCTGCTGTTTTTGGGTGGACTGTTCTGTATATGTGTATTAGCTCTAAATGGCTTATACTGTTGTTCAAGTCTTCTATTTCTCATGAAGCTTCTGTCTGGTTTTTCTATCCATTAATTAAAATGAGGTATTGAAGTGTCCAACTACTATTATAGAACTGTGTGCTTATCCTTTCAATCCTGTTCATTTTTTTTCAGCTTTACTGAGGTATATTTGAGAAATAAATATTGTACATATTCAAAGTTTACAATGTGATGTTTCTATCTACATGCGCATTTTGAAATGATTACCAAAATGAAGTAAATTAACATATTAATTACCTCGCATAATAGTTACCTTTTTTGTGTGCATGCATGGGATAAGAATACTTAACCATAACCCTAGTGACTGCAGAGTGGCCATTCCAGCTGCTCCAGGCTCCGGCAGAGGAGGAGCGGGGCGGGTGGCACCACCAGGGGGGCCCTCAGGCCTGGCGCGCACGCATTTCGGAGGCTGCCCAGGCCAAGGTGCAGCTGCCCTCTGCCCTGTGTGTGCAGGTAGCAGCCGCCTGTCAACTCCCGAGCCCGGTCGCGCTGCCAGCGTCGCAGAACCGGGGTCAGATGTCCCGGCGGCTGCACAGGAGTGAGAACTGAGAACCTGCCGCTCAAAGCCATCACAGGTGACTGCGGAGTCCCCATGCCAGCAGCTCCTGTCTCCCTGTGGTGGAAGAGCCGGGCGGGATGCGCGGCTTGGGGCTTCTCAGCCTGGGCGCCCTGGCGATCCGCAGGCCTCCCGGGCCAGGCCCCTCCAGCCCGCCTGGGCACCCAAGCTGCAGCCACCCTCTGTGTGCAGGCAGCAGCCTCTGGGGAACCTCTAAGCCCGCCTGCACTCGTAACATCTCAGAACCAGGGACAGATGTCCCGGTGGCTAGAGCCAAGCCAGATGGTCTGCCCGATGGCGGCTACACAGGGGCGAGAACCTGCCACTTAATCCCATCCCCGGTGGCTGCGGAGGGCCCCTGGCCAGCGGTCCTGAGCTCTGGCAGAGGCGGGGGCAGGGCCTGGCGGGCTCTCAGGCTCGGTGTACTCGCGATCCAGAGGCCGCCCAGGCCATGTTCCACTGCCTGGACACCCAAGCTGTAGCCGCCCTCCGCCTGCAAGCAGTAGCTGCCTGGCAACTCCCAAGCTCGCTCGCGCTCCCAGCATCGCAGAACCAGGGCCAAATGTCACCGTGGCTGCGGCCAAGCCAGGCGGTCTGCCCGGCGGCGGCTGCAGAGGGGCGAGAACTGAGAACCTGCCGCTCAACCCCATCTCTGTAGGCTGCGGAGTGGGGTCCGGACTCCCTCGGACGGCCTGGCCAGCAGTTCTGAGGTCCGGCAGAGGAGGAGGGCAGGAGGCACGGCGAAGGGTACGGACTCTCAGGCCGCGCGCGCTCGCAATCCCAAGACTGCCCAGGCCATGCCCCGCTAGCCCTGGGCGCCCAAGCTGCAGCTGCTTTTTTGTTTGTTTTTCTTTTTGCAGGCAGCAGCTGCCAGGCAACCTCCAAGCCCGCCAGCACCCCCAGCCTCGCAGAACTCGGGCCAGTGTCGCCGTGGCTGCAGCCAAGCCCGGCGGTCGGCCTGGCGGCGGCTGCACTAAAAACAAAAACTGGCCTCAGCCCCATCCCCGGTGGCTGCGGAGGGCCCCTGCCAGCGGCCCTATCTTTCTTCAAAGGAGGAGCAGGGCGGCCAGAGCGGCCGGGAGGGCTGCGCGCCTGCGATCCTACGGCGTCCCAGGGGAGCCCAAGAGAACCGGTGAGCCAGCGGCGCCTGCGCCCAAGCTGTAGCCGCCCCTTGCGGACCGCGCCACTTGGGAGAGGCTTCCGGAGTCCCCGCGGGCGCTGAGCTGCAAGCGTGCGCCTACAGGCTTCGCTTGGCTTACTCGGTCTGAGAGGTCGGAGGCTGCCAGTGTCGCTGCTGAAGGCTGTTAAAACCAGCTACACAACCATCTGAAAGCCATTTTCCTCCCTCTGGTTAAAAACAGTCATATGTCGCTGGGCGCGGTGGCTCACGCCTGTAATCCCAGCACTCTGGGAGGCCGAGGCAGGCGGATCACGAGGTCAGGAGATCCAGACCATCCTGGCTAATACGGTGAAACTCCGTCTCTGCTAAAAAATACAAAAAATTAGCCGGCCGTGGTGGCGGGCGCCTGTAGTCCCAGCTACTCGGGAGGCTGAGGCAGGAGAATGGCGTGAATCCAGGAGGTGGAGGTTGCAGTGAGCTGAGATCACGCCACTGCACTCCAGCCTGGGCGACAGAGCGAGACTCCGTCTCAAAACAAACAAACAAACAAACAAACAAAGAAAACCAGTCATGTGTCTACTGATGATGTAGTTAAAGCTGTGTCTAGATCTATCTCTCAGCAGGGACGTGGTTTCTCAAATGCGAATGTTTGACCGGCAAAAGTTTTGCAGCCAGAGCCTGTGCAAGTATTGGCAGATTGAAAATACAAAATCAAGGCACTTCTCACGCCTAGCTTTTTTTTTTTCTTTTTTGAGACAGAGTCTCACTGTGTTGCCCCAGGCTGCAATGCAATGGTGCGATCTTGGCTCACTGCAACCTCCGCCTCCTGGGTTCAAGCGGTTCTCCTGTCTCAGCCTCCTGAGTAGCTGGGATTACAGGCATGAGCCACCATGCCCAGCTAATTTTTGTATTTTTAGTAGAGATGGGGTTTCACCACGTTGGCCAGGCTGGTCTGGAACTCCTGACCTCAGATGATGCGCCACCTTGGACTCCCAAAGTGTTGAGATTTCAGGCGTGAACCACCGCGCCTGGCTGGAAACTATTTTTGTTTTGTTTTGAGACACGAACTCACTCTGCCGCCCAGGCTAGAGTGTAGTGGCATGATCAAACTCACTAAAGCCTCGACCTCCTGGGCTCAAATAGTCCTCCCCCACCAGCCCCAGAGTAGCTGGGACTACAGGTGTGTGGTACCATGGCTGGTTAATTTTTTTTTTTTTTTTTTAATTTTGAGACAGAGTCTCACTCTGTTGTCCAGGCTGGAGTGGAATGCTGTGATCTCGGCTCACTGCAACCTCCACCTCCTGGGTTCAAGCGATTCTCCTGTCTCAGCCTCCTGAGTAGCTGGGATTACAGGTGTGTGCCACCATGCCCGGCTAATTTTTGTATTTTCAACAGAGACGTGGTTTCACCTCGTTGGCCAGGCTGGTCTTGAACTCCTCGGCTCAAGCGATTCACCTGCCTTGGCCTCCCAAAGTGCTGGGATTACAGGTGTGAGCCACTGAGCATCTGATGTCAAAAAGATTAATAAATGGTGCCTCCTGAGTGGCTGGGATTGCAGGCATGTGCCACAATACCCCATTAGTTGTTTAGTTTTTATTTTTTTTGGTAGAGACAGGGTTTCTCCATGTTGGTCGGGGTGGTCTGGAGCTCCTCCCTCAGGTAATCCGCCGGCCTCGGCCTCCCGGGGTGCTGGGATTGCAGGCGTGAGTCACTGAGCCTGGCCCGAAACCCGGTCCCATAACGGAAAAACAAAACAAAAACCACAAAGATTAGCCGCCCCACAGGTAGTCCCAGCTGCTCCCAAGGCTGATCTAGGAGGATTGCTTGAGCCCGGGGGTGGAGGTGGCAGTGAGCCATGATGGCGCTGCTGCAGTCCAGACAGAGCAACAGAGAGGGACTGTGTCTCAGGAAACGGGAGAGGAAAAAAAAAAGTATACAAAAGTGCTAAATCAAGGAACAGCTTGACAGTATATTATTGAGAGACAAAGAGGCAAAGGTTAGCAGACACCGATGTTCGCTTAGTGGAACTGCAGGTGTCCCCCACAGGAGGGTGCCACTTTTCCAAAAGAAATGTATTATTGACAAAAAAAAAAAAGTTGTAGGTTTGTTACAATATACAAATAGCTAAACTTTATATAGCCACGACCCTCTTCTAGCACTGCTCTAAGCCTTTTCCTGCTCTGGAATAGCTACTATTGTTACCTCCATTGTAGAGAAAACAGATGGGGGAGGTTGTTGTGGAAGGACCAGGGAAACTGACTATGAAATTGACTTGTAAGTTGAGGACTTAAAGGTTCTTCCTGCTTTGCTCCTTACATTGCCACATTTTAGTTAACATACCTCTTAAAATACTGATCCTTTCTGTATTTGGAGGGACTCCTCTTGCAGTTTGAAGTTTTTTCTTACACTAAGCATCTGGTTAGAAGATCATCTCCATTTTATGTCAGTTTAAGTTTAGACATTGTTCAGTAAGGAATGTAAATATGAGCAAACAGTTATCTGATTGAAATAGATAAACTAGAAAAAAAATCACCTATGAGAAAGTCAACAAAATGTCAACTCTGGATTTGTGGCTATTTTCAGAATATTAATTTTTTGATATTTAATGGCATTGTGAATATATTTATTTTTAAGAATTCCTTGTCTTCTACAGATACATATAAGGTAATTAAAAATGATAGGATGTATAGGTTTTACTTCAAAATAATTCAGAGGAAGAAGGAATGTATATAAATGAAGTGGGAATGTAAATGAAACAAAACTGGCTGTGGCCAGGTGTGGTGGCTCACGCCTGTAGTCTCAGCACTTTGGGAGACCGAGGCAGGTGGATCACCTGAGGTCAGGAGTTCAAGACCAGCCTGGCCAACGTGGTGAAACACCATCTCTACTAAAAATACAACAATTAGCCGGATGTGGTGCCGGGTGCCTGTAATCCCAGCTACTCGGGAAGCTGAGGCAGGAGAATCGCTTGAACCTGGGAGGTGGAAGTTGCAGTGAGCCAAGATCATGCCACTGCACTCCAGCCTGGGCAACCACAGCAAAATCCCACCTTTAAAAACAAACAAACAAACAAAAAACAACCAAAAAAAAAAAAACTGTCCATACCATGAATGAAAAATTGTTGATGATGTGTATATGTAGGGCAATTATATCATTTATTATATATAATATATATATTATTTTTCTCAACTTTTTTTTACATCTGAAACTTTCTATTGAACACATGGACATGTCCCTTGATAACTGGGGCTGCTTCCCCATTATTCTCTCAGCAGCCCTTCTGATTTTCACTCCATCTTCATTCTTAGAGATTCTGGATTTTATTTTTTTTTTGGGGAAGTTCAAGTATGTCTTTGCAAGGATTATCCAGCATGTCTACCTACTCAATCATATTATCAGAAACAGAAAAAGTGTCCAGATTCTTGTCTTGTCCTGTTCAGATTTTTTAAATTCCAAGAACAGTCACCTTCTACCAGACACTCTGATGTTGGAAGACAAAGCATATTTGGTAAGTGGCATGATTTCTGGGCTCCGATTTAGAACAGTCACAGCTTTCAACAATCCAAAAATAGCTGACTGTGACTCACCATATTTAGAAAGATGGAGATTATTAAAAAAAGAAAACCTTAATTTATTATGTGACCGCTAAGTGTCTCGGCTGAAAATTGTAAAGATAGAAAGGTAAATCAAAAGATACAGAGACTGTAATCATGCACTTAATAAAGCACTAAATCAAAATATATTTGGCATATGTGAAAGAGTTTAATTTTATCCCATTTTCTACTGGCACTATAGGTATTTGTAAGTACATATAAAACTACAGTGTTACATATAAACTACCAAAAAGGAACTTAAGAAACGAGACTAATCTAGCAACTTTATTTAAAAGTTTATCTTAAGGGAATAATTAAGGATGTCCATACAAAAGGATTTAGCCATGACACGAGAATGTTCTTCCTGGCAAATCAATGGAAATTATTAAATGTGCAAAAGGGAACTGTTGGAATAAATTCTAATGCCTTCATATGATCGTATGTCGTAACCTTTTAAAATGATATTAAAGAGTTGCATACATTGACTTAAACAGATATTCATAACACATCACTGAATAGGAGAAATACGGGCCAGCAAAGAACATAGAGTTGGTCCAATTTCTACAAAAAAAAGAAGACTAATAGCATGACAGCAGGGAAGGGGGAATATGTCAATGTATGTGTGTATATATATGTATGCATAGCAAGTATGAACTTGAAAGGATATATATCAAATTGTTTACACAGATTACCTCAGAGAGGTAAATAACTGGCCTTTGGTGTTCTGTGTTCCATAGATTCTGAATTTTCTTTTTTTATTTAAATAGAGATGGGATCTTAGCCAGGAGCAGTGGCTCACACCTGTAATCCCAGCACTTTGGGAGGCTGAGGAGGGCGGATTGCTTAAGGCCAGGAGTTCAAGACCAATCTGGCCAACATGGCAAAACTCTGTCTCTACTAAAAATCCAAAAATTAGCCAGGCGCAGTGGCTTATGCCTATAACCCCAGGTACTCGGGAGGCTGAGGCATAAGAATTGCTTGAACCAGGAGGCGGAGGTTGCAGTGAGCAGAGATTGCACCACTGCACTCCAGCTTAGGCAACAGACCGAGACTCTGTCAAAAAATAAAAACAAAACAAAACACCACCACCAACAACAAAACAGTAATAAAGAGAAAATCTTATGGACAGGAGCAATGTCTCATGCCTGTAACCCCAGTGCTTTGGGAGGCCAAGATGGGAGAATCGCTTGAGCCCAGGAGTTCAAGACCAGCATGGGCAACATAGCAAGACCTTTTCTCTACAAAAAATTTAAAAATTAGCCAGGCATAGTAGTGCATGCTTATACTCCCAGCTACCTGGGAGGCTGAGGTGGGAGGATCACTTGAGCATGAGAGTTGGAGGTTGCAGTGAACTGTGATCACACCACTGGGAAGCCATGACCCCATCCCTGCCTTCTTCCTCTGTCCTATGCTAGCAATAAGTAAGTTTCCCAGCCACAAATAATTATTAGAACCTCCTCCCCATGTGCCACCTCCAACCACCGCTAGGTATGATACAGGGGTGGCCCTACCCTCTGGAATATACAAAACCTTACACAGACACAATATATACACCGGGGAAGGGGGGCCACCCCAGCAGCCCATGCCTTCGCCTGGTCCACAGTTAGCCCCACTGTCCTGCCTCAGCTACCTCTCTGAATAAGAAGATTGGAGCCCCCACTGAGGGAAAAGTTGCTATGGTGAGAGTAAGGAGGCCATGAGGCCTCCTCCAAACAAACCAACTCCACCAGCCTCTGGCTCTTAAATAACAATATCATCCAGAAATTTAAGGACTCAGCTCTGGTCAAGGTGGCAAAGGGTCTGTTTGTCTTTCCTCGTTAGACAGTGGTCTTGTCTTGCTACCCTAATTGTAAAGGGGTGACTGGGAAGGGGAGATAGGGACAGTGTGGTGGTGGAGAGACCCCAGCCCCACTTCTCCAGGCTTTGCTGACAGGGGCCTGCTTTTAATTTTAATTTTTATTTTTATCCCATGCCTTTTTTTTTAAATCCCATAACTTCTTTTTCATAACTTTTTTTGGTAACTTTTCATAAAACTTTCTTCTACTTTTTGGTCACAAGATTTTTTTGCCACAACTTTTTTACATTTTTTATCCCATAACTTTTTCACCCCATAACTTTTGTTAATCCCATAACTTTTTTATTTTGTGTTCTTTTAATAAACCCTTGCATAGTTATATTACAATTTTGTAAAAATGAAACATTATCTCATGCCAAGCATGCTCAGCATTTGCACAGTATCAATACCTTTAATACTATATTTTTCAAGACACACAGAATAAAATTTTAAGGCAAAAACAGCACTTTGCAACAACTTAATAATTTATTACATTACAGTAGCATCACACCAGCAGTCAATAATGCCACTTTAGGCAAAAGTCTTTCAGTATTTCCGTTTTACATTCCGCTTACAAGAATTCATAAATTGGTAAAATTCATTCTAAGAAAACTTGGCAAATAAAGCTTTGGACTGGAATTGGCATTTCTTTCTCTACTTTTCCTTCCCACCATTTATTTCCTTTACAGTATTCATATTTTAAAATGTTTTAACTTATTTCAGAACATTAAGATAGCAGTTACATTGTTTAATAGTTATTTTAAAATGACTCTTTCAGATAAAGTTTTAGAGAAACTATAGTATGGATAGGGCTGATTTACATTTTCAAATTTTCTAAAAATCAGCTTTGGTTTTAGAGCTGATTTTTGTTCATTTCTGGAAAACCTATCAGATTTAATCCAATACTTTAAAAATGATTATTATATATTGCACTCTTTAAATCGGTGATTTGATTCTTCCTACAGACATTCAAATTTATTGAATTGAACTCACATTTTAGAATTCTGTTTCTGATGAACTCTAACCTTCCAATGTTGCCTTCTAAGCAAATTGAAAGCTGCCTTATACCGAATGAGGAAGAATACCAATACTTGGCTGAATGAGGTATCGCAAAAGACTGCATGCACTTTGAAGAAAGACTTAAGTTATAGTCATGCGATTTCCATTCTTTTTAGCTTTTTCTTAAATATACGACAAATATCTACACAAAGAGTGGTATTTCTGTTAATACAGTCAATTTATTTTCCAGATTGACATTCAGCTTAAATATGCCAGTATGTGATTTAATCCATAGGCACCTGATGAACACATTATTGTCAGATTGGTTACAGATGCTCGTAGTTGTCTTTAAACTGAACTCAAAGAATGCAAAAACATCAAGTTCAGAAAATAAAAGGCAAGGACAGGACTTTAAGTGCATTTTAAAGCCACGGGCTAGAAATCGTACCACTGTTAACTAGCCGCATTATTTGGTCTAACATTTTTTCTTTATCATTCTGAAACTGGGTTTATCTAATACATTGATACATTCATACAATTTGGTAGAGTCCGTTGAAGTCACAAGGACCCGATATTTGCACTCTTTCAGTGATTGCCGGCAAATCTGTTATTCCATCGGCAAAATCGTACTGCTGCTCTCCTGTTAATGTCGTATTTATAAAAGTATCATGAGGATGCCAAATGCTAAAAATGGAGATGGTCTAGTAACTAGAAATCCCCACCCCAGGGAGCACACATACATATCTCCCTACATCCTAATAATGTGATGTGTTTTGGAACACAGACATTAGAACTTCATGAAGTTTTAACTGTTGAGTCTTTCCCAAGCATCATCAAGTTATGATTTAGGCAATGTACAACTGAAATTCATTCATTCATCATGCATAGGCACAATCACATAAATACTGCACAAAATATGCCCGTAAGTGAAACCCAGAGGTACAGAAACACATTTCACTCTTCACAAAGAAGTTTGTGAGGAAATATAACTCTGTGATTGTATAGACATGTTTCCTGATAATACACTGACATTCACCAACAGTAGATTGCACTGCAGTTTGTACACATTTTAAGTTGCATAAACTTCTCCTTGATTTTCAAAGATAGTATAATACTGTCTACTAAAACTCCTTTTTGTTTCAACTAAGCACTCTCACATATATTAGTTTATAACAATGTTTATTATTATTTCAAAGTGTTTTCCATTCAAGGAAAAGAAGTCAATTCCTATGTCAAAGTAACCAAGGTGGTTGAAGAATAGGCAGAGTGGTCTAGATGGTAAAATCAATCTTCAAGCCTCAAAGAAGCTCCATGAACAGAGGAATGCCAGGTGTCACACAGCTTTCCTTCACTCTAATTCATTCTTGACTAGAGCCTGTATGCGTGTTCCAGGGACATTTAAACTCTTAAAGGATTTCTTCTGATCTTTACTAAATACATTAAGAAGAATGCCAACCAGTGCCCTTTTGTGTACTGGGACATGCAGTCATGTGATTAAAACAGGTAACATGAACTCTGACTTTAAAATATAGATACAAATGCTCTAAGCTAGGAAAGGTTTTCCACATCCATAGTCAATGATGGGAACCTTTCATTCCTCAGAAATAAGCCCTTTTTAGGTCATCAAAAAAGAGTACAACTGCTGCAGCTCATGATGCAATATCTTCATGAGCCCAGAGCACATACAAATCCTAAAGGAACTACAATAGTACAGCACTAATTCTTGGCAACAGAACAAATGAAACACACTCTATCTTGCACATACCTGCCAGAGCAGGCAACTTTCCTCTTCTGTGAAATTTAAAAAGCTCCCCCAAAATGTTATTACTCCCATCACCAATACACAGAAAATGAGGGAAAGGCTGTTTCCAGTTCTCGGCCTTTAAACAACTCTAAATGTCAGTACTCTTGGTGGCATATTACAAAGTATTAAATAGTGCACACTTGGGGCAAACCACATATTGTGCTAATGAAGAGCTCACTGTGATTAAGATTAGATCAAACAATAGCAGAACATAGGCAAATTTTATCTGAATTCTGTAATGAATATACATGCTGCAATAACATTAAAAACACATGGCAGCCTATTCCAAACCAGCAAGAATAGTTTTGTGCAAATAGTGGGTCTTTGTGTGTTTGAACTCCCACCACGTAAGGGCAAACTCAATATGCATGCTAATAACCTACAATCATGAAATTGAAAAAGAAAATTGCGAAAGTATGCCAGAGTGAACATCAGTGAAAGCCACAGAGACCCACTCTCTTTTAACTATTTACAAATAAACTTAAACTATAAATTAGAAACACAAATAATCATAAGTGGCTATAACATTCAAACGAAGTAAATGAATTGTGTAGGAGATTAACCCCATAACTTTGTTTCTTTTTTAAAAATTTCTTGAGCAGCTCTTTGACGATGGTCATGTTTATCTCCTTCTTCTTGGCAGCCAAGCCCAGCAAAAGAATGGCACACAGCAGTTGCTGCCCAAGCCTGGGTGCTCCTGGTGGTCCTGCACGATCGGCTGTGCAGTAGGCTTGTCGTGGGGAGAACCCTCCCTGGCCTCTCCTTGCACAGGCTCCACGCTGTCAGTGAGGCTCACCTCACAAAGATCTTTGGAGAGAGGGAGGTGGGGATCTGAGCTCAGTGAGAGCCCCCCTGCTCCTGCCTGCCCACCCCGCCTGAGGGCTCTACTCACCACCATGCTTGTGGGCAGCCCCAAGCTCCTGGGGGGCTGGGGCTCCTGGACTGGGCTCATGAGCAGGGTTCTGGGCAGTCACCAAGAATTTGCTGTGTCCCTTGTAGTCGCCACCAGCTGCAACACCATCTCCTGCAGCTCCAGCAGCTTCACCTGGAGGGAGGGGTGCTCAGCTGTCACGCTGCTGCCAGCGCTCACCGTCACAGCCACCCCCACCCCCGCAGAGATGTTGCACACTCTACCTTCATCTCCTCCCTGTCCAGGGCCAGCCTGATGGTGTCCTCCTCCCGGTGCTGCATCTTTGGCACTGCCCCCTGGCTTTGTTATAGGGTGATAAACTTTCCTGCGGGAGGACAGGGCTCAGACGCTGGGGCCCCTCCAACAGCCCTGCAGCTCCCCCTGCCATGCCCTGGCCTCCCACTCACTGATGGCATCTCTCTCTGTAGTACTGGAAGAATCCAAGTTCTTCTTTCTCCACCAGCTCACTCAGGTCTGCCTTCTCCTCCAGGTGGTCCATAAAGCCGCTCTGGAGCCAAAATAATGGGGTCACATCTCGCCAGCGACCTGCCCTCAGGTGGCATTTTCAAGTCATGGAGAAGGCGGAGGTGAGTTCCGGCATGGGCCAGCTTCTCCATGACTTCCTGCAGGGCCCGGTGGGTCTCCCCACTCACAGACTCGCCCCCAGGCCCTGGGGCTGGGACCGCTGCCTCTGGCTCCTTCTGGGCCGAGGCCACCGGGTGAGCCAGGCGCTGGCAGCACACCCTCTGCTCTTTCACCTGCTCTTGTAACTGTGCCTGCTTCTCCTGGGCACTAGCTCCAGCGGACTTGAAAAATGCCACCTGAGGGCAAGATGTGAGCATTCTTCTAGGGGCATACACAGAAGAAATGGGGCAGAGAGGTGGAGCGCAGCCCCTTCCCTTGGGGCCCCAGAGACTGCACATGTTGGTCACAGGTGAAATGGTGTCTGACCACTGGCTCTCGGAAGGGGTGAGGGTCCAGAGAAATCAGAAGGCAGGGAAACGAAGAGCATAAAGGGGTCTTGGAGGGACCACAGAGAAAGGTGGCAAAATGGGTGCAGGGGGAGTCAGGCTCACCATGGCCTCCCTGCTCTCCAGGTCCTCTGGGACACTCGGCATGGGCCGAGGTGCCTCCTCCCCCTCACTGTCCAGATGTTCTCCTCCGTGTCCTGTGGGGGGTGGCCAGAGGGGTCTTCAGACAACTCAACAAGGGAAGTATTGTGGGCCCACCTCTGCCTCCACCCTCATTGTGTAACCCTGAGCCAGGCCCTCCCCAGAGAGGAATGAGCTGCTGTTATTTATTTTTACTTTGAAGAACCAAGATCTTGCTATACTGCCCAGGCACATTCCCACTACTGGTCGGTGCGGGAGTTCTGACCTGCTCCCTTTCTGACCTCGGCCAGTTCAGCCATCCTTAGGCAACTTGGTGGCCCCCCGCTCCCAGGAGGTCACCATATTGATGCTGAACTTAGTGCAGGCACCCGGTTAGTATAATGACCAGCTGTTCTAAAGGTCTCTTCCAACTCCTCAATCCTATGCTGCTAGCAGTCCCCCCTTCCTCCTGGGGCTCTCTCCTCTTCCTCTGAGCGGTCTCCCGTACCTTCCCCAGGGAGAGCCATGAGGCTCAACTGGGCCGTTAGCTGCTGTTTCTGCTGGCTGGCAGCTTCCAGGCGCTCCTAAGGGGCCAGGAAAGAGTGAGAAGGCACAGAGTTTGCCAGGTCGTCCCCCTCACGGCCCCATCCTCGGCAGCTCCCTCCCCTGGGCCTCCTGCAACTTTTGGCAGGCCATCTCGGCCACCGCTTTGCCCCAAGCTTCCTGCTGCTGCAGCTGGTTCATTAGCTGGGTCTGCTGCAGTCACTGCCTGTACAGCGCCTCCTTCTCACAGGTCAGCTGCTGATAGGCGGCCACCTGCTGCTGATAGGTGGCCACGTACTGCTGCAGGTGACCCAGGTAATGGTCTGGCTGCTGCTGCAGACTCTGAGCCTCTTGGCTCTTCAGCTCCACCTGCAGGAAGACCCTGGGTGTGAGGGCACGTGGTGGCTGGTTTCCAGATTCTGGGCCCATTAATAGGGTAGCGAGGGCACTGTGGGGCTCTGTCGCCTGCCCAGGCCCCTGGCCCCTTACTCCAGGCCTAAGTGACTGCCTCCCTTTCCTAGAACCCCATGCCTCCTTCCCCAGCCTCAAATCTCATGTCCTCTTCCCACCATTTCAACTGTAGGCCACAGAATGGTAGAAAAGTAGTGGGAGCCAACCACCATCTGCTAAATGTGCTACAGGCCTAATGCTTCCCATGTATTATCTCATTTAATCCTCAGCACCTCTGTAAGGAAAATGCTAACTTCCTTTTGAAGTTAAAGAAACAGAGACTTAGAGATGCGAAGTACTTGAATGGTGACCAGTGGAACTGAGGCTGGAATCCAGTTTTAATCTAAGGAGTCTTTTTGTTTTGTTTTGAGACAGAGTGTCACTCTGTGGCCCAGGCCGGAGTGCAGTGGTGCAATCTCAGCTCACTGCAACCTCCACCTCCTGGGCTCAAGCAATTCTCGTGCCTCAGCCTCCTGAGTAGGTGGGATTACAGGCATGCGCCACCACCATGCCCCACTAATTTTTCTTCCTTTTTTTGTTTTTTGTTTTTGTAATTTTAGTAGAGATGAGGTTTTACCATGTTGGCCAGGCTGATCTCAAACTCCAAACCTCAAGTGATTCTCCTGCCTCAGCCTCCCAAAGTGTTGGCACTATAGGCGTAAGCCACCGCGTCTGGCATAAGAAGACTGTTATACCACTCTGTCTCTTCCCCTGTGATTGGGGGTGCTCCATGTCTCTAGCTGGAATGATGATGTCCAGACCTGGGAGGAGCCCAGGGCTACCCACCTCTAAAATCAGAGGGCAGGAAGCAAGAAACAGCCACAGGACTGCCCTGGAGGGTGCTGGGGTCACCTGCCCCCGGGCTGGAGCTGCCTCTGGCCTGGCACCTCCCCTCCCCAGAGGCTGGTGCCCACCTCCCAGACCTTCTTGGATGGGGTGGAGGTTACCGTCTCCTTCACCTTGCCTAGCTTCTCCTGCAGCTCCTTTACTTGCTGCTCCAACTGTAGTACGCTCTTGTTCTCATTGTTCTGGACAGAGAGAAGCAATCAGCAGCCACCCACTGCAGCTGGAGACCCCAGAACTTGGTGACTGCCTCCCATGGCACCGGGAAGGGTAGAGGCAGGTTAGAAAAATCATCCCCTGTCTCCCACAGCCACCAGAGCAGGGCTCTGGCTCACAGGTGCCTTTAGGAGTAACATTTCACTTGAGGGCTACACTGCCACATTTTATAGGTGGGGAAACAAAGGCCTGGAGGGCTAGGGAGGAGGGCAGGCTCCCCAGCTGGGGCAACGCACCAGCTCCTTGAAGCTGTTCTGTGGCTCGGCCAGCTGCTGAAGCCTCTCCTCCTGCTCCCGAAGCCTCTCCTGCTGCTCCTGAAGCCTCTCCTCCTGCTCCCGAAGTCTCTCCTTTTGCCCCTCATTCAGGAGACTTATGCGCTGATTGTACTCCACCTGGGCCTGGAGCGCTCCTGCCACTCTCTCTAGTTCCTTCCTCAGGTGCTGCAGCTCCACCTCAGAGGGCACTGCTGGGGGCTCCGGGGGCAAGGGTTCAGCTGAGAAAGGAAGCAGATAATAAGGGCCTCTGGATTCTCGGAAAAGAAAAACCCTCCTCTTGGCGCACAGCTCCTCTCAGGCTCCTCAAACTTGGCCTCACTGCTAATGATTCCTCCCACCCAGATGGTAGCCAGTCTTCCAAACCACTTTCAGAGAAAGAGCACTGCGGGTGGCTGACAACGGGCCCTCTTTGCTGATGGGGACACTGAGGCTCATTGAGATGACAAGACTTGCCGTCTCCTGGCACAGACCTCTTTCCCTCTGCCTCAAAGCCCTTCCCATCCACCCACCTCGCTGGGGCACTCCAAGCCACCCTCACAGCCCTCTGATGCCAGTCCTGCTGTCAGGTCATGCCAGCCCCATCTTACCCATCTGGTGTTTGAGTTTGGACAAGCTCCTCTCCAGCGTCTCTACCCGATTTTTATCATGCTTCTTCTCCTTCTTCAACGAGCAAACCTGCCCAAAGCACAGGGGGAAAGGGCCCTGGAGAGAGGGGCTGGAGGCTGGACATGCTACCATCTCCCTCTCTGCCCCCACCTCCACAAAGCCCAGTCCCAGGACCACCTCTGGCTCTACTATTCCCATTTTACAGGTGCCCAGAAAGATCCAGTGACCTATCTAATGTGGGGGGGCTGAAGGGTCAGATCTCACCTCCTGCGACATTTTTCTCATCCTCTGCTGCCACCGGGCCCTCTCTCCTTTTAGATGTTCAGCATATTCATCCCTCTCTAGCTGGACTTCTTTAAGTGACTCCTTCAACTGCAAGAATGGGCACAGAAATTAGGAAGGGCTGTCACTGGTCCTCACCTGCTCCTGGTTACCTGGGGTCATCTTCCTTCCACATCCCTCCCTCTGAACACCTCACCTGTGTCAGCTGCGCTTTCAGCAGTGCCTGCTCCCGCATGGACTGCTCTAACTTCCACTCCATACGTGCTTTACTGCGGCTGGAGAACTGCTGAAGAGTGAGAAGTTTCAATCTGGGGAGGCCGGGCCATTCCACACAGTGCCCCTTAAAAGGGCCAGGGCTAGGCCCAATATACAACTCGGTCAGTAAAGATCAAGGCATTTCCAAGCCCGTGGTTTGGTTTTTAAAGAACTCAGTAAAGTTGGAAGGGACAGGGAAAGAGATCGAATTTATAGCTGGCTAACAGAGGCCCAGAGAGATCAGATAATATTGCTATTGTTATTACTGTTATTATTACCACTGTTTGAACTTTTATGGAGTGCTTCACCAGATACCATGCTAGCAATCCCATTTAATCCTCGCAACCACCATGGGAGACAGTTACTATGATGACCTCTATTGTGTAGATGAAAAAACATGGAGTATTTGAGGTTAAGTGCTTGCCTAAGATCACTTAGGCAGAGCTGGGATTTAAACACCCAGATCTATCCAATTCTCTAAGCCCATTTTTCTTGCTGGGGGTGGGGGCACAGCTAGGAAGGGGAAAATTAATCTTTTGTTCACTTTTTGAAAGGATAATACATTCACATAGTCCCAAACTCAGAAGATACAGAAGGGAAGTATCTCCCAGCCACCCTGTTGCTCTCTCCTGAGTTTTTATGAACACTTGCAAACATATTTTATGTATATTATCATAATATGTACACACACACACACGTTTCCTCTCTCTACAGAAATGGTAACATACTAAAGGTACTCTTCTGTACCTTCACAGTACAAGTACCCAATACCCCACTTAGGACTTGGCCAAGACCACAGCCAGGTAAAGGCATGGCAGGCACTTGGCCTCCAAGCTCTACGTCCTGTGCTCTCTCCCCAGAGTGCCCCCCCCACTCACCCACAGCAGCTGACTCAGTCCCAAGCTGCCGCTAACAACCATACAAAAAAGCAGTGAGAAATGGCCATGCTGCCTTCTGGGCAGGACACTCCATCCTGCAGAAGGGACCTTTAGGCTCACTCCTCTGTCTGCGAAGCCAGGCTACCAGGGGACGCGGCAGGTGGTTGGACTCACCCTCTCCGCCTTCTTCTTCTGTGTGGCGGTGACAGCAGAGAGAGCCCGCTCTAACTCTCCTTTACGCTGCAATGAATGTTGCAGACGGACGGCCAGATCCTTGGACTCTTCTGTAATGAGAGAGTTGAGATGGGGCCCAAAGGACTCCCCCTGAAGACCTGTCAAAGTCCCAGGTTGAAGGATGACAGGGTACCCAGATTCCCACCTTCAAAGTATCTGAGAGAACGTTTCGTGTGGTACAGGTCCGTATTTAGTTTCCCTTTCTGTATGTTCAATCTCTGGATTTGAACCTTTGGGAGAAAAGCCAAGCAAGTGCTGAAAGAGAAGGAAAGAAACATTCTCCGGAGGACAGGAGAAAACTGCACACTGTCCACTCACCTCTAGCCCCCTTTCAGCTTTCTGTTTCTCGTTGTTTGCTTTCTTTTCCTGTAGGAAGAGGAAGACAGAGATCTAACCAGGCGGAGGCAGAGATGGTACTGCAAGAGACATGTCCCCAGAATGCCACCACTGCCCCTGCCCCGGGACAGGCCCACCCATGGGACCGGGTTATCAGGGACCCTGTGGGGGATGGGGTGGACTCTGGGGGGTGAGCCTTCTTCCCCAGGCTGGGAGTGGGTGAGACGAGACTCGGGGCCTCTACATCTGAGTGTCCCCCAAACCGAGCAGTCATGTCGCGAGCAAACAAAGAAATCATGTTACTTCTTCCAGCTGATGTTCCACTTGTTTCTTCTGTTGTTTCTGTGGGGAGAGTCACATTAAGGTGATGGAGGGTGGCCCCCTCAACTCTATTCCCCAGAGCAGGAAGTGGTAGGCAGGGACCAGGAATGGATTTTAAAGGCAAAGTTCTCAGACCCAGTGGGAACACGAACTGGTAAACTCTCCTCAAGCTCCCAAGGACAGAGGATTTGGGTCTTTGTTGGCTTTTGTCCACAGCCACAGAACTCAAGGTCTGAATCTGGAATCTCTTGACAGGACAGTAACATAAACCTCTAGAGATGGAGTTTGAGAAAGGCCCCCCCTTCTGCCAGCTTGTGATTTAGAAAAGTGCATTCATTCAATAAACATTTACTGAGCACGTACGGGCCAAGTACGGTTCTTCACAGCAGATTTAGGGCGGAAAAGGACAGACAGGAGCCTTTGGCCCTGAGGTTTCCATTCTAGGAGGCCTTTAAATCTCAGACTCTCAGAGCTAACAGAGACCTATGATACTCACTACTTCCTCTGGAAACACGAGCCCAAAAAGGAGAGGTGGCTTGTCCAGAATCAAAGAGCAAATTAGGGACTGAGTCATGGCAGAAATACAGGGCCCCTGACAACCAGTCAGGCTAGCACTTCCCCAAGAGGCAACAATCCCAGGGCGTGTGTAGCAAGGACTCGAGCAGGGGCGTCTGGAGAGGGGAGAGTCAGCAAACAGGGCAGCAAAAAAAGAGCCATGCTGCATGCTCCGGGGTCCCTCCAGGTGAGGCCTGGGTGCCCCAGCTCCCTATTCGCCCTTGGCACCAGGGGCCCCTGTCCCCTTTCTTCAGGGCCCCAAGGAGAAACTAGAGCCCAGGATTGGCAGCGTGGAATCAGGGGACCCCAGTGGACTCTTACCAAAGATTTGATGGTGTTCTTCAGTTGACTGACTTTTACGGACCTCGAGTCTGGGACTACTGCTAGTTCTTGGCACGGGCTCTGAGGCGCATGCAGAGAGGAGGAGGTGGAGGAGGAGTGGGGGGAGAGGTAGAGAGAGCAATCATTAGGGCTGGGGTGTGTGTGGACTGTCTCAGCTGGCAGAGGGGCACCCCGTCCCACCTGGAGGAGGAGGTTGGAGGGCTGCCCTGCAGGGTCACTGCACCTCTGCCCAGAGCCTCTTACCTCCAGATCCTTCAGGGTAGCAGATGATGTAGGGCTCTCCCCGTGGATACCTGTTGCTGACTACAAGAGATGAGAGTGCACATGAAGATGTTCTGTCCCACTCAGTATCTAAGCCCTCTGACTTCTTTTCTTCCCCATCAACTGGCACAATTTTCTTTTCTGCCTATCTTGGACCCTTTGTCCCATAACTCCTTTGTGCCAACTTCTCTCATGGTTCTTATCTCCCCACCACAGCACCCTGCGGCCCTTTCAGTGACTCCTGTGCCAAGTGACTGTTCTCATTGTCCTGGCTTCCCCTTGAGACTGGGGATGAGGAAAATCGAACAGCAATGACCATATCCTGGGTGTTCTGGGTGTTTACAGCAGGCCATGTACTAGAGATTAACATAAAAACAACAATAACAGATCTCATTTAAACTTCACAAATGGAAGTGAAACAATACCACCTCTATTATACAGATGTGAAAAGAGAGGCCCGATGAGGTCAAGCAACTTGCCCTAATTCATATCCCTAGCAGACAAAGAGGCAGGATTCAAACCCAGAATTCTTCACAGGTACCCAACAGTCCATCCACAATCTTAACAATTACCCTCTAGTGCCCCTTGGGTCCCCTGTCCCCAGGAACCTAGTCAGCCAAGACTCACATCTCCAGGTGAGTGGCAACCACCAGAAGTGGCTGTCTCATGGATGCTGCCATTTGTTTTCCTGTTCCTCTTGGCTCCTGCTGGAACACCAGGGCTGTTTCTCTGCCAATATTCTTTTAACTGTCAGAAACAAGAGCAGTAATACTCATGAGAACTATCAGCCCCTGCAGCCACATCCTCCTTTACAGTTTTTATAAAATACTCTTATACACCATCTGATTTAATGACACCAACAACTGTACAAGGTGTTGTCACAATCATTTAGTGACTCAAAGAGATTGATATCATGGCTAGAAAAAAAAAGAAGAAAAGAAAAAGGCGACAGACGAACTTTGAAACTCAGTCTTCTGACTCCAAACTCTGGGGTATTACCAAGAATCAGCAGCTGCCAGGGACCAAAACCAGAGGCAGAGGTAGAAAAGTAAACATTAAGTAGGCAGGAACTGTATGCCATGTGGTTTAGAGTCATACATCCTCACACGTCTGTTAGTGTGAAGAAGTGCACCAGTACCTCTCAAACTCTTATATCAATGTATCCTCATGGCAGAAGGCAGCCTTTCTGTTAAATCTGGGAATTTATCAGAAAGAGGACAACCCAAGCCTCATTTCAGAGAGAGGTCTGGTATACTCTTAGAAACCTATGTGACTGTCATCCTTAAGTACATTAATGTTTTTTCTCTTGATCTCAAGAGAATCAATGGAAACTGATGCTTCAGAAAGATGTCCCATATGTATCCTGTGGCACTCAAAGTACCCCAGGTTTACATAATATGAGGAAGATTCAAGCTGTCAAGTTCAGTTTCCCAAGATCTATTCCACAGAAGATGAGCAAATCTCACTTCACAGACCACTGACTGAAGGGCAGTCTGGTCCCAGAACCATGGAGAATTAGAATGTGAGGTGGAGAACTCACAAAAAATTTGTTAAAATCTCTCTGGAAAGTAGAAGCCTGGGAGAAAACCAAACCAAGTCAAACCCATTCTCCAGTTGCCATCCAGAGGTACTGTCAATGTTTTGAGCTCACAGGGGAAGTGTAGGCTTTTCCCGCTGTCAGTGTTTATGTTAAGGGAGTGAGGCAGCCTGAAACCTCTTGCTTCTAGGTCCCAATCTCCATTCCCCTTCCAGCTGGAAATTTGTGCTGTGACAAGAGGAACCAGAAATGGGGTGGCAATGCTTAGGGGACTGGGTCATAAGATCAAAGGCCAGTCTTGCAGTAATGACAGTTACTGGATGGACCGTGACATCACTACATTCCACTCTTCCTGGTGAGGGGGAGGGACCACATCAGCATGATGTCCGAGTCACCGCTCCATGATAGGGGAGGGAAAAACAGAGCTGGGACCCAGGTCCTTGGAGACACCAGTGCACACAGCCTAGGGAGGTCCACCTTGAGGCAGCAGGAGGGAAGGGAAGAGTCAGCAGCAGGGAGCCCCAGGATTCACCAGCCTAAAGTCACCCAGGGATGACTGGTGAGGGTGGGGTCTGGGGCTGTGGGACCCAGGTCCTTGGAGATGTGAGCCCAAAAAGCCCTGGGAGGTCAAGCTTGGGGTGGCAGGAGATGAGGGCCCAGTAAAGGAGCGGGGATCCCCAGGATTCACCTGCCCAAAGTCACCCTGGGGTGATTGGTGAGGGCAGAGACTGGGCTGCTTGCTGAAGGGGTGGGGCTGACTGGCAAAACTTTGGTGGGGGTAGCCCAGAGGCACCGGTGTGGGGGTCCCAGTCCGGTGAACCTCGGGAGTGGTATGGACTCTGGCAGCAGTCTTGTCGTTGGAGAGGATCTATGGCTGGGTTGGGGGTCCGTGACCTGGTGTGTTTTTACCTTTCTC
Organism: Homo sapiens; assembly: GCF_000001405.40. Classification (NCBI taxonomy): domain Eukaryota; kingdom Metazoa; phylum Chordata; class Mammalia; order Primates; family Hominidae; genus Homo; species Homo sapiens. The sequence continues at coordinate 82,338 of NT_187604.1, forward strand.
TTGGCTGCTGCCAATTTACTTTGTCGAGTTTCTTCTGCCATCGCAGGGTGGGGAGGGAGGCGGGCTTGGGGCCACATCAGCAAAATCCCACCAAGCACTGATCAACACCTCCAGTCACCTACCAGGTAGCTGTGCGACTGAGCCAGAGGAGGCGTAACCAGGGATGCAGTAGAAGGCAGAATAGGGGCGTGGCCTTAATGCTCCAAGACCATTGGTTAATGAGAAAGATGAAAGGGAAAGGGGGCGTGGCCAGGCATCATGTGTCCAGAGGGACCTTTGGCTCACAAGGAAAGCTGCCCAGGCAACCACTGTCCCCACCCACCCTAAGAGAGGGGAGAGGCCGCCAACTCTGGGAGAGGGGCAGGGCCGGCTTTTGCTTTAAAAGCTTTTAAAAAATATATATGTGTATACTTTATATATATGTGTGTCTGTGTGTGTGTACCTGTGTGTTCCTCCAGAGCTGTCTTCATGATCCAGCTTCTATGCAAGGTCTATGATTTTGGCCTATATTTTTCATAGAGTACAAAAATTACCAGTATTACCTTAACCGAGATACAGATCCTATGAAAATGGAAAATCCATAGCATGCTTGATGATTACTGAAGCAGACTATATTATCCAACATTCCAATAAGATAAAATAATCACAATGACTTCTCTTTTTTGGAAAAATGTTTCTCTTATTCTCCTACGTTATTGTGAAGACTTTTTTTCTTAAACAAGAAACATGTGTAATATTTGTAAAAACACAAAGCTTTTGGGCCGGGTGCAGTGGCTTATGCGTATAATTCCAGCACTTTAGGAGCCTGAGGCTGGTGGATCATGAGGTCAGGAGATTGAGACCATCCTGACTAAAAAGGTGAAACCACATCTCTACTAAAAATACAAAAAATTAGCCAGGCGTGGTGGTGGGTGCCTGTAGTCCCAGCTACTTGGGAAGCTGAGGCAGGAGAATGGCGTGAACCCAGGAGGTGGAGCTTGCAGTGAGCTCAGATCGTGCCACTGCACTCGAGCCTGGGCTACAGAGCGAGACTCCTTCTCAAAATAAATAAATAAATAAATAAATAAAACTTCTATTTCTTTCACTTTCTAATATAATTTTAATATCTCCTCCTGGGATTTCACTAAGACACATTTTGGACCTCATTCTGATCTTCCTCTCCCCTCCAAGCCCACCAACTTCTGCCCTATCATCTATCCTCATGTCTCTCTGTGTGACATGCTGACTTACTTTTTGGAGAGAATCGTCTAAACAATTAATTCTTTCTTCTCGTGTCTAATCCATCCACTAGTTTCTTATTTCAACAATTACATTTTTATTTCCTTATTTCATTTTATTCTGAGACTGAGTCTCATTCTGTCACACAGGCTGAATTGCAGTGGTACGAACCTGCAGACTCGGCCTCCTGGGCTCAAGTGATCCTCCCACCTCAGCCTCTTGAGTAGCTGGGACTATAGGCAGGTGCCCCATACCCAGCTAATACCATACCCACACAGCAGAGACATAAAAGATTTCCATCCTCAAAGAAGGTTCCATTGAACAGCACTGCTCTAATTCAATAAAAAATACCACTGAGCACAACATAGTAATAGAAAAGATTGAAGAGGCAGTGCTGATACTTAAAAACCTGGTATTTTCAGCCAGGCATGGTGGCTCATGCCTGTAATCCTGGCACTTTGGGAGGCTGAGGTGGGAAGATCGCTTAAGCCCAGGAGTTCTAGACCAGCCTGGGCAACATGGTGAAACCCTGTCTCTACAAAAAATACAAAAAATTAGCTGGGCATGGTGGCATGTGCCTGTAGTCCCAGCTACTTGGGAGGCTGAGGTGGGAGATCACCCGAGCCTGGGAGGTCAAGGCTGCAATGAGGTGAGATGGCACCACCACACTCCAGCCTGGGTGACAGAGTGAGACCCTGTCTCAAAAACAAAAAACAAAAAACAAAACAAAAACACCTGATATTTATTTTTAAGTACACTATTTTCAAACATTCAGAAGTTATTTCATCCTACCTTCATGGTTTCCATTCTATGCCTGGTTTAGAATTGGGATCTGATAAAATAAACGTGTTCAACAGAACCACTTCTCATGGCTGTATAACAGATGATCAATATGTATTTGCTGAGGAAATCATACAATTTTCTTAAATTTTTTTAACAAAAATTGTGGTTTCAAGGGACCAAACTTGAATACTACACCTTCATGTTCTAAGAATCAGGGGACTTATATAAAACCTCAGTTGCCTGATAAGGACTACATCAAAGTGAAAAGCCATGGGAAAGAACTAGAAAGTATACTTTTGACCCTAGTTCTGTAGTTTCCTTATGCCACAGGTAATACACATCGCAATTCCTGCCAAATTCTTTCCCTCACCTCTGTTTATGGTCTCGATTCCATAAATAGGAGAAGGGCATGAATTTGCTTTAGTTAGATAGACAGATAGATGGATAGATAGATAGATGGATGGATGGATGGATGGATAGATAGATAGACAGAGATAAAGATAGAGACAAAGATGGAGACAGAGATGGACATAGAGACAGATTTGCAGAAGATAAGTTCTAGGTGAACTAGTGTCAACATTAAAGTGGTATGCCTACATCTAACTATTCTGGAGAGAAAAACATACCTCAAAGAAATTGACTTAAATATATACAGAGAAAAAGTTTAAGCTGAAAGCTACTGCCTTTTTATATGAGACACTTTAGGAAATTACTTGGGGGGCAAGAGAGAAAATGGGTGGACATAGCTCAGAGGTTACACAGTAGCAGATATGTAGGATGAACAAGCCTAGAAATATAATGTACAACGCGAGAAATATAGGTAATAAAATTGTACTGTATTGGGATTCACGCTAAATGAGATTTTAAGCTCCTCTTGCCACCAAACAAAAAGAAAACGGGTAACTATCTGAGTTGAAGGATACGTTAATTTGCTTCACTGTAGTAATTTTTTTAACCATCTATATGCATCCCACAAAATCATGTTGTATACCTTAAATACACAGAATACAATTTATTTAACATAAAAAACTACTCCAATATTTTCTGCATTTTTAATATGCTCACCCAAAGAAAGCATTAATTTGCATCTTTGATGTTAAACAGATAGCCTAATCAAGTCACTATCAAGATCAAGACTAAAAGTTACAGCTTTTTTCTTTTGATGCCTTTCAGATATATCTATTTATATATAAAAATATATATACACACACACATACATACACACACACATATATATGTAGTTATGTGTGTGTGTATATATAGTTACAGTTTTGGCCAGGTGCAATGGCTGACACCTGTAATCTCAGCCCTTTGGGAGACCAAGGCTGAAGGCTTGCTTGAGGCCAGGAGTTTGAGACCAGCCTGGGCAACGAAGCAAGACCCTATCTCTACAATTTTTTTTTTTAACAAAATTAGCCAGGGATGATGGCATGCACTTGTAGTCCCAGATACTTGGGAGGCTGAGGCGGAGGATCCCTTGAGCCCAGGAGTTCAAAGCTGCAATGGGCTGTTACTGTGCCACTGGATCCCAGTCTGAGCAACAGAGCAAGACTTTGTCTCAAAAACAAAATTTATAATTAAAGATAAATAGTTATAGTTTTATGAACCTTGACTGCAACTGAGGGAAAATCCCGTAATTGGCAAAATGAATTCTGCCTGCTTGCAAAACTTCTGACTAATACGGAATGAATAATAGGAAGCCCATATTAGAGGATCCACATCAGTTAAAAAGTTTCCAAATAAGAGTGACTCTGAGTTCTGCAGAGTGAAAAGATTGGGTTCAAACCAAACACTTGCAAGATCTTGAGTAAGATACTTAATCCCTCTGTGACTCACTGTTCTCAAATGTAAGTGAAGATAATTTGTAACTCAAAAAAAATGAAAAAGTTTTCTCTAAGATTGCAAATCCTAAGGATAATTTCATTTTAATATCAGTTATTTAGTCTGGATACACCATAATGCAGACTAATTTTCCCTCTGCTTAAAGACCACACAAAAACATTACCAATAAAATTTACTTGTGTATCAACTTTTACTCCTGAGACTTCATCGTTTGTTTGGTTAAAAAAAAAAAAAAAAAAAAGCGCACTAGACCGGGCACAGTGGCCCATGTCTGTGATCTCACTTGCGGAGGCCAAGGCAGGTGGATGAGTTTGAGAACAACCTGGGCAACATGGAAAAACCCCGTCTCTACAAAAAAAATATATAAAAATTAGTCAGGTGTGGTGGCACATAACTGTGGTCCCAGCTACTCCAGAGAGTGAGGCGGGAGGATTGCTTGAGCCCACGCAGAGGTTGCAGTGAACCAAGATGGCACCACTGCACTCCAGCCTGGGTGACAGAGCAAGACCCTGTCTCAAAAAAAAAAAAAATCACTATAAAATTGAAATTCACAACAAAATGTGCATACTTAACCTTCTTTTTATTTATTTATTTATTTATTTTTAATATTTTGAGACAACATCTTGCTATGTTGCCTAGGCTGGTCTTGAACTCCTGGGTTCAAACCATCCTCCAGTCTTGACTTCCCAAAGTACTGGGACTACAGGTGTGAGCCACCAGCCCCGCCAGCCCTGTTACACTATTCTTGGTCCCTCAAGTGACTGTATGAATTTTAGGATCAGCCTCTCGAGTTCCACAAAAAAATTCTATTGGGATTTGTGTAGGAATTTCTTGAATTTATAGATTAATTTGTTGAGAAGTAGTATGTTTATAGCATTGAGTCCTACGATTCATAATATATATGGCATATATTTCAGTTTAGTCAGTTCTTCCTTTAAGTCCCTGGGTAATTTTTATATTTGTCTTAGTCCCTTCATAGTGCCATAACAAAACACCTGAGACTGGGTAATTTACACAGAGCAGAAGTTTATTTTCTCAGTTCTGGAGGTTGGGAAGAACAAGATCAAGACTCCAGCAGACACAGTGTCTAGTGAGGGCCTGGTCTCTGCTTCCAAGATGGTACGTTGAATGCTGCTTCCTCTGGAGCAGGCAAATGCTATGTTCTCATGAGGCAGAAGGGACAGATTTACCACCACCCACAAGCCCTTTTATAAGGAAGGCACTAATCTCATGCATGAGGGCTCACCCTTATGTCTTAATCACTTCTTAAAGGCCCCACTTCTTAGTACTATCATCTTGGGAATTAAGTTTTAATACATGAATTTTGGGAGACACATTCAGGCTATGGCAATACTCTTCATGAAAGGCCTGTGTATACTTTGCTAGATATATTCTCAGGGTTTTGTTGTTATTGTGAATAGAATCTCTTTTTTTTTTTTTTTTTTTTTGCCACGGAGTCTGGCTCCTTTGCCCAGGCTGGAGTGCAGTGGCGCGATCTCGGCTCACTGCAAGCTCTGCCCCTCCAGGTTTAAGCAGCCTGTTGCCCAGGCTGGAATGCAGTAGCATAGTCATAGTTCAATACAGCCTCAAACTCCTGGGCCCAAATGATTCTCTAAGCTAATATTTTTAATTTTTTAGAGATGGAGTTTCATTCAAGGATCACTAAAGGCCAGTGATCCTCCCGCCTCAGCTTCTGAAATTGCTGGGATTACAGGTGTGATTGAGCCATGGAGCCTGGCCAGACATGGGCTATTGATTCTCGCTGTTACTCTTTTCCCTTTCCTTCTAATCCTTGTATTGGGAAGCAAACAGTATGGAAATTTTATTTCTTCATTTTATTGATACGTAGATCTCTGCTTAGAAGACAATTTTAGTTTTAAATTATAAATGTTTCGTTCATTATTCATAGAAAACTAGATTTGCCATGGGATATTTATAAGTGTTGCACGAATGAAGGGTTTTCTAGTCAAATAAGTTGAAACACATTACGTTAAACAAACTTGGACAGTTTTGTTTCCGGTCATTTTTAGAGTTCTAAATTATGATTCTACTCAAGAGGATATTGTATGCGGTATTTTCAAACCAACTCATCCTGCGTCAGGTTGTGGTTACGCTTTGGGAGAGGAAGCTATAATCTTATACTGAGACTGTAATGAATGTATTAAGGTAATTTTCGTAGCTTTCTCTTTTTGGAGTTACCTGAGAAATTATGACACCCTTTTCCAAACAGGCCAACCTGCTTTGCAAACACGATTTCCATAATTTTAACAATGGTGAGGCCAGGCACGGTGGCTCATACCTGTAATTCCTTCCAGCACTTTGGGAAGCCTAGGCAGGAGGATCACTTAAGCCAGGAGTTCAATACCAGCCTGGGCAACATGGCAAAAACTCATCTCTACAAAAAATACACATATTAGCCAGGCGTGGTGGCACACACCTATAGTCTCAGCTACTCAGAGGTTGAGGTGGGAAAATTGCTTCAGCTCAGGAGCTCGAGGCTGCAGTGAACGGTGATCACGCCACTGCACTCCAGCCTGGGTGACAGAGCAAGACCCTGTCTCAAAAACAAACAAAACAAAACACAAACCAAGGGTGAGAGAGATGTTAGATGTTTTTGTCCTTGTTACAGATGTAAATGCTCAGTTGGAAAGAGGGAAGTATTTAGAGTGAAAAAGTTTCGGTGGAACACACACAAAAATAGGAAGATCAGGTATAACTGTTCCAAAAAAAAGAGTATGGCAGTATAGAAGAAAAGGTCTCCATGAAAATGCAGAAGAACAATTTCACAGCTGGTGCTGGCATTTCAGAGACCTTGAGCTGGGAATCAAAAGATGGGAATTTCAGTCTCGGATGTGCCACTCCTTAGAGGTTTAATATCTACTAAACCCGGCGGGCTCCACTTGGTGGTGTTTGCTATTTAAAAAAACAAAAACATGTGGCAATGATCTTCCACGTGATTCTGACTTGAGCCCCACGCGAGTCTGCAGACTTACCCTTCCACTGCTTTGCCCTTCAAGTTTGTGCCCATTAGCAAAGAGAAATTTTCTCTTTGGGATCACTGCTGTGTTGATCTCAGGAATATTTGGCGTTGAATTTAACATATTTTTCATATGTGTGTGCAATAGGGAGGCTGAGAAAGTTGTCTTTTTTTTAAGGTGTTCATTTTTGGGGTACAGGTAGCAGCCTGCTCTACAATCCACACAGAAGCTGGAAATAGCCTCTAGAGAATTTCCACGTTTAGAGAAGATAAATTTATACATTTGTATCTAATCAACATTTTTTAGCTAACATAGTAGTCTAATTATACTATGTATAATTATACTATGTATAATTATACTATGTATAATTATGGGTACTGAAATGACACCTGGCATATGCTGTATGCTGTGTTATATATACATATATATTTACACATATACATATATATTACACATATACATATATATTTACACATATATATTTACACATATACATATATATTTACACATATATATTTACACATATACATATATTTACATATTTTACATTTACATTTTACATTTATTTTACATTTTACATTTATTTTACATTTTACATTTACATTTGACATTCTACATTTATTTTACATTTACATATTTTACATTTACAAATATTTACATATTTTACATTTATATATACATATATTTACATACATATATTTACGTACATATTTTTACATACATATTTACATGTGTATATATTTACATACATTCACATACATATTTACATATATATTTACATACATATTTACATAATATTTACATACACATATTACATACATATATGTACACATATACATATATTTACACATATACATATACTATGTATAATTATGGGTACTGAAATGACACCTGGCATATGCTGTATTTAAAAATGTGAGGTTCAGTGAGAACACATGGACACAGGAAGGGAAACAACACATACTGGGGCCTGTCAGGGCGGGTGGGGGAGGAGCATCAGGAAAAATAGCTAATGCGTGCTGGGCTTAACACTGAGGTGATGAGTTGATAGGTGGACCAAACCACCATGGCACACGTTTCCCTACGTAACACTCCTGCACATGTACCCTAGAACTTAAAACAAAATTTTAAAAATAATAAAAAATAAAAATGTGAAATTCAGCACATAAACTGTTGGTTTTATTATTCATATTTTCCTAATTCAGAAATTATTTTCTGAACTATGGTTTATTAGATAATTTTGACGTAACAATTTTTTAAGAGGAAATTTAAGTTTTACTTTTTAATTGGGGCTCTTGGTTCTTTTTAAGAAAGACAGAGATAAATCATTTATACATTTAATTAGAAGAGACTGGGCTTGAATTTTTAAAAAGTACTAGAAATCGTAGCCACTATATATGTTATCTTTGAAATGTTTTAGACACTAATTACCTAAACAAGGAGCAAATAAGTTAAACCTCTTGGATTTTAATAAGAACTAAAATGTACAGTTGTATTTTCTGGTTTTTTAAATTGTTACAGTCTAAATTTATTCTTCCTAATGAAGAAATGTATGTGCCGTCAATATCAGGTTCTTTGTGGGTACTCACAGTTCCCTTTGCCTTTTACGCAGTGAATGTGGGCAACATGCGTGGAACAGAAATGATGTCGTTTTCTTTCTTTTGAATATCACTATGAATCTAATAATTCAAAGATTCCTAACTTTCTGAATGCCATTATTAATTGGATTCACAATGACTTACCAGGTACAGAGTTGTCCCGTGTGTCTTGGGGTGAACTACTGAGAGTGGTATGAGGGAAGCGATTCTCAGCTAGCGCTGAGTGGGGCCACTTCCAAAGAGGTGATGGGGTAAGAAGCACACACAATGTGGCATTTTCACTGCAAAGGGAGGTTTGTGCTGCCTCTCCTCCTGTGGCAGGTCTGCTCGCAGGGGAGGCTCCAAAGTTTGGCTTTGCTGGGTTTGGCATGTGAGAACTGATGAAATATCTGTATGTAGTATCTTTCAAGGATTTATATCGGTTGGATTTCTGTGTAAATTTGCATATCCCTTTGACTGCTTTACCCCATAGAAGCTTTGTATGCTTAATAAAATCTGTAACTTTTCTGTCACTTTCTCATTTAGCATCTGCCTTTCTGGCTTTTTACTTTATCTTTTTATTATTGTTTTTAGTTTAATGAGATTATGGTTAGAGAGAAAGATGGGTGCATGATTCCGCTTCTTTGGAATTTGTTGAGATTTTCCTTATGGCTCAGTACATATGTACTTGGGGGGGTGAATGCTGTCACTTTGGAGAGATATGTTTTTTCTGTACATTAGGTCAAGCTTGTTAATTTTCTAGAGAGATGTAAATCTTCTATGTCTATGCTGATTGTTTTTTGTCTCTTTTATCAGATACTGAGATATGTATTTAAATTGCCCTCTGAGGGTTGCAATTTTGTCATATTTTGCTTTCATGTATTTTGAGTGCTAGTTATTAGATACATTAACATTTTAGATTACCTTCTCCCTTGGTTTATTAGAATTTTTATCATTATATTGTGGCCTTAAAAAATCTCCCATATTGCTTTTTGCCCAAAGCCTATTTTATCTGATAATAATATAGCTTCCAACCCTTCTTTGGGTTAGGTACATATGACAGGTGTATCTTTTTTCAATCTCTCTCAGTCTTTCTGTGACTTTATGTTTTAGATGTCTTTTCATACTGTTTATTTTCTGTTTTTGTGTTTTTTTGTGTGTGTTTTTTTTTTTGATACGGAGTCTTGCTCTGTTGCCCAGGCTGGAGTGTAATGGTGTGATCTCGGCACTGCAACCTCTGCCTCCTGGATTCAAGCGATTCTCCTGCCTCAGCCTCCTGAGTAACTGGGATTACAGATGTTCACCACCACGCCGGCTAATTTTTGTATTAGCAGAGATGGGGTTTCACCATGTTGGTCAGGCTGCTCTCGAACTCCTGACCTTGTGATCCCTCCGCCTGCCTCATCCTCCCAAAGTGCTGGGATTACAGGCATGAGCCACCACGCGTGCCCTAATTCTGTTTTATAGTCATTTTCTCTTAATTATTCAGTCTATTTACATTTATTGTGATTGTTGGCATAGTTTCTTTTATAACTTTCATCGTATTTTGTGCTATTTGTTCCATCTGTTTTTATTTCTTCATGTCTTTTTTGTTTCGTTTTTGCTAATTCCTTTTATATTCATGGTTATTCTGCTCTTGAAATGTATGCTATGTGAATATATTTGTGAGTTGACAATACTTTATTAGCAATTAAATATACTATTTCTCTTTTTTTTAGAACTTGCTCAAATGTTACATAACCTCAATATCCTTAGTATCTAAATTAAACTGACTTTCTGAACAATCATCATTTTAAGGCAGTTACCACGATCTACTAAAAAATAAAAAAAAATTAGCCGGGTGTGGTGGTGGGCGCCTGTAATCCCAGCTACTCAGGAGGCTGAGGCAGGAGAATCCCTTGACCCTGGGAGGCAGAGGCTGCAGTGAGCCGAGATAGCGCCACTGCACTCCAGCCTGGGCGACAGAGAGACTCCGTCTCAAAAAAAAAAAACAATAATAATAATAAAGGAATTTAAAAAAAGACTGGGTTTAACCATGTTGCCCAGGCCGGTCTGGAACTCCTAGGCTCAAGCAATCCCCCACGCTTGGCCAGTCCAAAGTCCTGGAATCAAAAGCGTGAACCACCACGCCAGGCCGATCACGCCTGTCATCCCAGCACTTGGGGAGGCGGAGGTGGGTAGATCACCGGAGGTCAGGAATTTGAGACCAGCCTGGCCAACATGATGAAAACCCGTCTCTACTAAAAATACAAAAAAAAAAATTAGCCGGGTGTGGCGGCAGGCGCCTGTAATCCCAGCTACTCAGGAGGCTGAGGCAGGAGAACCACCAAAACCCGGGATGCAGAATTTGCCGCGAGCGGAGACCCAGCCACTGCACTCCAGCCTGGGCAACAAGAGGGAAACTCCGCCTCAAAAAAAAAAAAAAATAATAATAAGAGACAGATTTTCACCATGTTGCCCAGGCAGGTCTGGAACTCTTAGGCTCAAGCAATTCCCCACGCTCGGTTGTCCAAAGTCCTGGGATCAAAAGCGTGAGCCACCACGCCAGGCCGATCTATTTCTTTCTGATTAATAAATTGGGCCGGGAGCGGTGGCTCACGCCTGCAGTCCCAGCACCCCGGGAGGCCGTGGCGGGCGGATCACCTGAGATCGGGAGTTTGAGACCAGCCTGACCAACATGGAGAGACCTGTCTCTACCAGAAAAAAAAAAAAAAAAAAAAAGAGCTGGGCAGGGTGGCTCCCGCCTGCAATCCCAGTCACTCGGAGGCTGAGGCAGGAGAACCACCCAAACCCAGAGGCAGAGGCCGCGGGGAGCCGACACCGCACCACTGCACTCCAGCCCTGCAACAAGAGGGAAACTACGCCTCAAAAAAAAAAAAAGAGAGAGAGAGAGAGACCGGTTTTCACCATGTTGCCCAGGCTGGTCTAGAACTCCTAGGATCAAGGGATCCGCCACGCTCGGCCCGTCCAAACTCCTGGGATCAAAAGCGTGAGCCACCACGCCAGGCCGATCCTTCCTGTCATCCCAGCACTTTGAGAGGCCGAGGTGGGTTTACCTGAGGTCCGGAGTTCGAGACCAGCCTGGCCAACATGATGAAAACCCATCTCTACTAAAAATACAAAAAAAAAAAAAAAAAAAAAAAATTAGATGGGTGTGCTAGCGGGTGCCTGTAATCTCAGCTACTCAGGCGGCTGAGGCAGGAGAATCGCTTGAACCTGGGAGGCAGAGGTTGCAGTGAGCCGAGACAGCGCACCACTGCACTCCAGCCTGGGTGACAAAGTGAGACTCCGTCTCAAAAGTATATATATATAAAAATAAAAAATGAAATAAAAATAAATTGGGTGTGTGCGCTGGCTCACGCCTGCAATTCCAGCATCCCCGGAGGCCGAGGTGGGCGGATAACCTGAGGTCTGGAGTTTGAGATCAGCTTGCCCAGCATGGAGAAACCCCGTCTCTACCAAAAACAAATAAAAAAAAATTAGCAGAGCAATGTTGGTCAGGCCTGCAATCCCAGCCACTCCGGAGACTGAGGCAGGAGAACTACTAAAACCCTGGAGGCAGAAGTCGCTGCGAGCGGAGACCCAGCCACTGCACTCCACCCTGGGAAACAAGAGCGAAACTCCGCCTCAAAAAAAAAAGAGAGAGAGAGAGAGAGACCGGGTTTCACCATGTTGCCCAGGCAGGTCTGGAACTCCTAGGCTCAAGGGATACCCCGCGCTGGGCCATCCGAAGTACTGGGATCACAAGCGTGAGCCACCACACCAGGACGATCTATTCCTTTCTGATTAATAAGTTGGGCCGGGAGCGGTGGCTCAAGCCTGCAATCCTAGCACCTCGGGAGGCCTAGGCAGGTGGATCACCTGAGGTCGGGAGTTTGAGACCAGCCTGACCAACAGGGAGAAACCCCATCTGTACCAAAATAAAAATAAAAAAAAAATACAAAATTAGCCGGGCTTGGTGGCTTATGCCTGCAATCCCAGCCACTCTGGAGGCTGATGCAGGACAACGACCGAAACCCGGGAGGCGGAAGTCGCGGCAAGCAGAGACCCAGCCACTGCATTCCAGCCTGGGCAACAAGAGCGAAACTCCGTCTCAAAACAAGACAAAACAAAAAGACCAGGTTTCACCATGTTGCCCAGGCCTGTCTGGAACTCCAAGGCACAAGCGATCCACCCTACTTGGCCGTCCAAAGTCCTGGGATCACAAGAGTGAGCCACCACGCCAGGCAGATCAAAGCGTTGAGCTGAATAAAGAGTTATCTTTTAGCATTTTGTGGAGCCCGGGTAGATCTGTGCAGGGGGAAGCATATTACAGAAGCGAGAAACAGAGAGTTATTTAATTGAAGCACGCATTATGTTTTTTTTTTTTTTACGTTTTTAGGAAAAATATGTTTTGTGACTTGCATTTGTTTGTTTAGTGACCTTGCAGTTGCACAGTTAGGGAATTAGGGTTTTGATAATGCCTGGGAAGGGAGCGATAAGGCTCACTAGCCATAGGAAAACAGGTAGTTTTTTTAAAGGACTAAGGCTCTTTCTCATTCTCAGGGGGAATTGGGTTTTTTTTACATACAGCTGAGTTTTTGCTTACACATTTTTTCATTTCTTTTAATTCCTGTTCCAATGCCAGCATCCTTGCGGTGCGGTTTCCCAGCGGCTCTCTTGCCTTGCAGCTTGTGTCGGGAGTTGCAGACAGCCATGGCCCATGGGCCTGGCGCTGACGGACCCTGGAGCGGTGTCTGAGGGAGGTGGGCAAAGCCACTGGCTGGCCCGAGTGCATCCTCACGTAAGTGCACAGATCCCGGGCTCGGGTGCGACTGCGGTCGCACGTGGACACGGGTTGCAGACCCCTGGCAAATTGTGGAGCTGGGGGAAGGTAAGGGGAAATGTAAATCACTTTTCCCCACATTTCAGAGGACCTAGGCTATCAAAATTTTAAAAATTGTTAAAACTTTTACAGTATGGATCTCTCAGTTGAATGTTATTGAAATCAACCTAACCTCAGTTATTCACGCCTATAAGCTCCCCTTGAGGCTTATTACGGCCCCCATCCCCCTACACACAACTGTGTTGGTTTCTCCTTCCGCCTGTGCTCCTAAAGCACTCAGTGTTTACCTGCCATCATACTTTATTGAAAGCACAAACTTGTCACTTGTCTGTCTACCCCACTAAGCTTCTTGAGAATTAGAACTTTCATGTCTCTTCCCAACACAAACCTTTTATGTGTATTTTGTTGAAGAACTTCAAATATGACCTATAAAATTATGACTCATTTATGTTTCAAACTCCAACCTCTCCCTTGAGTTCCTTGCTCACAAGCAACTCCAGACTGAGCTTAGTTGGAATTCAGTAGCGCACAACTGGGATATCCGCACCGTACGGCTTTTAACAATTTTTTAAATTTTGGTCCTCTCAGCATCACAAATTCACTGTGTCCAAAATACAGTAGAATGTTGTTTCTACCCACCTACACTCTGCCATCCGCTGAAGTCCTTTCCCCTTGCTCCACCACTCAAGCCTTGCCTATCGCACTAAATGGCAGTTCTGTCTCTCCAGTTGCTCGCACATAAAACTAGGCTGCTATTTTGATGTCTTCACTTTTCTCTATTCTGTATCTAATTCCTTAGCAATCCTGTCAGTTCTACCTCCAAACTGTACTCAGCATATTCACTGCTCTAACTCCAGCTTAAATCACCATCATCCTTTGCCTGGAATGCTGCATCAACCTTCTAATCACTCTACTTTCCTCCTCCTCCTTCCTCCCTTTCTTCTTCCTTCGTATAAATCATCATTTCATCCTTCTGCTTAAAATCTTCTCACATTTTCTTATTACACTTAAAACGGCAAACTCTTACCCTTGAGCCCTGCAGAATTTGGCTCCCATCAGTCTCTCCAACTTCACCTTCTGCCTCCTTCACGCTATAGCCATGCTCACTTTTTTATTCCTCAGGCTTACCAAGCTCAATTGCATCTTAGAGAATTTGTTCTTGCTGTTTCTTCCGCCTGGAATACATGTTTCCCAATCTTTATAAGACTATACTTGTCTGTAAGTTTCATCTCAGATGTCACATCTAGGAGAGGTTTTCCTTGACCACTGTAGCCAAAGCAAATGTTGATCATTGAGTGAATAAGGGAATGAATGAATGGAGTGGTATATAATGTAGCAGAGTAGAAAATTTAAGGCTAATTCTCTATATATCTCCAAGCAAATAGATTTGTAATGCTTTTCCTGCCAACAATCTATACAGCTGATTCACAAATACTTGGTTGACAGGTTTTATATATCATTGTGGCTCATCAGCTTATATGTTGTTGGGGCCAGAATCTATACTTACACTTTATTCAAATTTGATTTTACAGAAGAGTTGAGGTTTTTATTTTTCTTTTAATTAAGAGGGCTGTGAAATTATTATCTATAATTCTAAATCTCATTTAATTCCTCCCAATAGGTTTCAAGATGGATTGGAACCAAAGTTCACTTCTTTAACAAAAGTGCTTTATGACTTTAATAAAACAGTAGAGAATGGTAGAATCCATGGCAGCCCTTTACAAAAACTTGTGATAGAAAGTTTTGATGATGAGCAGACTTTGCAACAACTGGAATTGCAAAATGAAGCAATTTTACAGTGCTTCCAGAATGCGGTTAGTGAAAGAAAGATGAAGATATCAGTCTTCTCCCAGAGAGTGAAGAACAGGAGCATGAAGAGGCTGGTTCAGAAACAGAGGCTGATGGCCAGGAGGACCTAGAAGATTTAGAGGAGGAGGAGGACGTGTCAGATATGGGTGGTGACAATCCTGAAATGGGTGAGAGAGCTAAAAACTCAAGCAAATTCAGGGCCAGGCGCGGTGGCTCACGCCTGTAATCCCAGCACTTTGGGAGGCCGAGGCAGGCGGATCACGAGGTCAGGAGATCGAGACCATCCTGGCTAACAAGGTGAAACCCCATCTCTACTAAACATACAAAAAATTAGCCAGGCGTGGTGGCAGGTGCCTGTAGTCCCAGCTACTCGGGAGGCTGAGGCAGGAGAATGCCATGAACCCGGGAGGTGGAGCTTGCAGTGAGCCTAGATCACGCCACTGCAGTCCAGCTGGGTGGCAGAGTGAGAGACTGCATCTCAAAAACAAAAACAACAATTACTTAACTTTAGGATGCTCCAATAATCAAAATTGATAGTGGCTTGTGAACAGATAGATTACTTGAATAGAATAGAGCCCAGAAATAAACCCAAATGCTTCTGGGGGAGTTTGGTACATTATAAACATGACATTTTAAATCAATGAGGAAAAGAAATCATTTGCAGCTCACCCCACCTTGCACAGCAGGAATAGGAAGTCATTGGCAGAATAAAAAGATGGTAAGAACAGAACAGAATTGTAGAACAGTACATTTCTTGCTTCCCCACTTTTCAAAGTATTTTTTGCTTTTTCACAAATGTAAGTGTAATTTTATTTTCTAAATGTATACTAATTCTTTTCTTCTCTTTCTTAGATGAATGACAAAAATTACATCTTTAGAAAAAGAGTTGTTAGAAAAAAGCCTTGGCTGCATGTGGGGGAAGTGACAGCACAGAAGAGACCAGAGAAGAGCCTCCTGGAGGAGAGCCTGCACTTTGACCATGCTGTCCGGATGGGTGCAGTGCTCTTTTCTGCAAAGTGTTCACTTCTCTGCTTTTTCTGTGGTCCCATTTCATAGAAAGATTTGGGGTGATGTTTCTTTCCCTCAACTTTTATTTTGAAAACTTGCAAACACAGAAAAGTTGATAAAATCATACAGTGAACATCTGTATGCTATTCAACTGGATTCACTAGTTAATGTTTTGTCACACTTGTTTTCTGTCTTCTGCGTATGGAAGATTGTATATGTGCCCTTTTTCCCTCTGAATCATTTCAAAGTAAGTTGGCAGTATCAGAGCATTTCACTGTTAAGTACTTTCGCAGATATCTTCTAGGAACCAGGACTTCTCCTATATAATCACAATACCATTAATCCACCCCCAAAATTTAACATCAATACACTAATGATACCTACTGTATAGATTATAATCAGCTTCCTTGCAGCAATCTGTTTAGAAGGCTTGCATCCTGTCACTGTCCACTGATTAAATTTTGAACTCTAACTTGAAACCCTGGTCATCTCATTGCCTTCTTTCTTATACCCATTAAGTCAAAAGGAGCTCTCATTTTATTTCAACAGAAAAGAGAATGGAAAAGCGGGGAAGAGTCCCTAGTACCTTGGATAAAGTATGAGCACTTACTACCATATGTATTCTAGTTCTGTAGTTTTCAAACTTCAGGGAGCATCTCAAGGCTTATTAAAGCACAGATAGCTGTCCTTCCCCACTTTCTGATTCAGGAGGTGTGGGGCTGGCCCAGGAATTTGCATGTCTAACAAGTTCCCACGTGTTTCTGATGCTGAGGGTCTAAGGACTACAATGCATGAATCCGTGGTTTAGTGGATATCCACCTAATGAATACATGTTGTATTTCCTTTGGCACCCGTGATTACAGAGGAAACACCTTTCAACTGGAAGGTATCATTAAACAGAGGATAAGAGATCAGGTCAGTAAGAATTAAATTTCACTTAATTGAAATGTCACTCAAATGTTTAGAAATAATATGACAGGCCAGGCACAGTGGCTCATGCCTGTAATCCCAGCACTTTGGGAGGCCAAGGCAGACGGATCACTTGAGGTCAGGAGTTCGAGACCAGCCTGTCCAAGATGGTAAAACTTCCTCTCTACTAAAAATACAAAAATTAGCTGGGCATGGTGGTGCATGCCTATAGTCCCAGGTACTCGGGAGGCTGAGGCAGGGGAATCGCTTGATCTCGGGATATGGAGGTTGCAGTGAGCTGAGATGCGCCACCGCACTCCAGCCTGGGCAACAGAGTGAGACTCCATCTCAACATAAATAAATAAATAAATAAATAAATAAGATAAATAAGATAAAAATAAAAATAAAGGGAAGATGGGGCAGCTTTGTGTATTGCATGTCCTGAAAATGGGCTGATTTCTCTCAAGAGGCAGGGATTTAAGCTCTGTAGCCTATGTGGGATACATACAGGAGAAAAAAGAAGAAAAAGAAAAGAAATGTAAATATAAATAAATGAAAATAACACTTTTCCATGATTATAAAGGAAATCACATTGTTTTTGTAATAATTTGGATGACAAAATGTAAAGAAAAATCTTTAATTTTGCCACTCAAAACATTCCGGTTTGTTGCTTTTCACACTTTTTATGCTGTAAACATTTTAAAAAGTAGAATCACAATACATGGTCTTTTGTCACTTACTATATTTTAAGCATGTTTCTATGGGAGAAATATATCCTGGCATCATCACTTTCAACAGCTGGATGTATGTTAAGTGAATCATTGCCACCCCAGAGGTGGATTTCCTTCTATATATATTTTAATGGACTCGAGTGAGGATTTTTGCACTGAATTCATAGAAGTAGAATTTCTAGAAGAAAATAATATAAAACAGTTTTAGGATTTTTAAAACAAATGTTCAAATCATCCTATAGGAAAATTGGTTGAGTTTACGCTCCCACCAACAGGGACAGAGCTCCAGGTTCCGCCTTCCATTTGTCGTCTTCGCTGGTCTTTAAGCAGAAAATCTCATTGTTTTCATCACCTTTCTTTGATTTCTAGTGCTTTTGAATCTTTTTCATTTGCTCATTGGCCATTTTTATTCTTGTGGGAAGTGCTGGTTTCTCCATTGCCCATTTTCTGCTGCAAATCATTCATTTTTTTTTCTGAGTAATTTTAAAGATTTCTTTATAGGCTAAGGATACAAACCTTTAATCTGTCATTGAGTTTACAAAGATCTTCTCCCAGTAAGTAATTTGTCATTTCACTTTATTTATTTATTTTTTGCTAGCAAAGCACCAAAGTCAAATTTCACTTAATTTTTATCCTGCTGAATGAACACATTTTAAGTTAGTGATTTTAGTGGAAACAGGAGCAGGACAGAATGTAATAATTAGATCTCGCTCTGTCACCCCAACTGGAGTGCAGTGGCATGATCATAGCTACTGCAGCCTCAAACTTCTGGGCTCAAGTGATTTTCCCACCTCAGCCTCCCAAGTAGCTCTAGGACTACAGGTGTGTGCCGCCAAGCCCAGCTAATTTTTAAATTTTCTTTGTAGAGATATGAATTCGCTATGCTGCCCAGGCTGGTCTTTAACTCCTGACTTACCCCACCTTAGCTTGCCAATATGCTGGGAGTACGGGCGTGAACTACTGCTCCCAGCCAAGAGCTTACTTTGGTTTGCTAGCAAGGTTCTTGGTATCTTTTTATATTTGAGGCTTTCGTGCTAGTGCTGAAGTATTACACTCACCATCTGAGGTTTACAGGACTTTTGTTTTAATATTGAACCGAGGGAACTGTTTAGTTTTGCATCTTTGCAGGTATACAAAATGTGCCTACCAGGACTCTGCTTTATATCCATTGAAAAGCAAGAAGTAATACAGTAAAAGTTTGCCTGGCTACAGGCTTTGGAAGAATGGAGTATTCTGGTTTAATTCTATTAACTTGGAAGGATGAAGGTGGAAAAAATTCAAAACTTTAATTTCCTGTTGAATGCAATTTGAAAATATAGCCAATGAGTCCACTTTTCTTCTCTAGTAAGTTTGGACATTCAGATCTACTTGGTCTTTTATCATAGAACTCCTAGTGCGCCTGAGTCTTACGTTGTGAAAATCCTTTTCTAAAACTTTAGATGTAAGAGGATAGAAATGATATTGGATGAGATCAGGCTGGATGAGAACTGATACCTGTAGATATATTTTTTAGATGAAATCTCTGATTGCCACACGTTTTCTTATTGAACTCATAAAAATAAAACACACTGGCTGGAGGGTGGAAGTAGGAAGGAGATTTATGTCTTTTAATTGCATGTCATTGTTTCATATTGAGACAGAACATATAGTATCCCTGGCTTTGGACCTACAGAAGGAAACACATTTTTCTACCTGCTGTATGGCAGAGGTTCCTGAGCACCTGGAGGGATTATTGCAGCACGGATTGCTGGGCCCTACTGCAGAGTTTCTGATTCATTCATGTCTAGGGTGGGGCCTGAGAATTTACATTTATAAGAAGTTCCCAGGTGCTCCTGGTCCGGAGACTACATGTTTGAGAGCCACCCTTACATACTAACTGTAAATTGTAGAACTCTAGAAAAAAGCGTAGTTTGGACTGGGAGAAGAAGCACACAGGTAATGGAGCAAATCATGAAAAAGTCAACCCTTGATCCCAGGTAACAAGCAATACACAGTGACATAACACAATTCTTGGTTTTCATGATTGCAAGTCATAGCCAAGTATCGAGTGAGAAATTCAGTTTCATTTTCAGGGCTTAGAGGCCAGGTGATTCTAGAAAAATCGGATTTAGTGATTAACTCATGAGAGTAGGAGTTATTTATGTCCTTTTTCTCTCCCCCATCACTTAGCATTTAGCCTTACTTTAGAAGGGTCCTGTATTTGCTTTAACCTTGTAAAGAACTTTGAGTGCTTATTAAATGGAAAGCCTTGTGTGTGTGTGTGTGTGTGTGTGTGTGTGTCTGTGCGTGTGTGTGTGTGTGTCTGTGCGTGTGTGTGTGTGTGTGTGTATTTAGAGACAGAGTCACGTTCTGTAGCAGCCCAGGCTGAAGTGCAGTGGCATGATTTTGGCTCACTGCAACCTCTGCCTCACAGGTTCAAGGGATTCTCCTGCCTCAGCCTCCCAAGTAGCTAGGATTACAGGCACCTGCCACCATGCCCAGCTACTTTTGTATTTTTAGTAGAGACAGGATTTCATCATGTTGGCCAGGCTGGTCTTGAACTCCTGAATTCGGGTGATCCACCCGCCCCAGCCTCCCAAAGTGCTGGGATTACAGGCATGAGCCATCACGCCTGGCTCAAAGCTTTGTATTTTTAAAGATATTAGACATGTTTCTTGTTTGTTTGTTTTTTTTTAAAAAAACTAAACGCTAATGTAGGAGAATAAGAGAAAGTTTTTCCAAAAAAGAGAAAACATTGTGATTATCTTATTGGAATGTTGGATAATAAAGTCTGCTTTATCAATCATCAAGCACACTATAAAATTTCCATTTTAATAGGACTTGTACCTCAATTGAGGTAATAAAGTTTTAAAGTTTTTAAAGTGAAAGCCAGCCCCGCCCCTCTCCTGGAGTGGGCGGGGACAGCGGTTGCATAGGCAGCTTTCCTTGTGACAACACAGGTCCTTGATGACACGCTGCTGTCTGGCCACACCTCCTTTTCCTTTCATCTTTCTCATTGACCAATGGGCTTCAAGCATGAAGGCCACACCCCTATTCTGCATTCTAGTGCAGCCCTGGTTACGCCTCCTCTGGCTCAGTCACACAGCGACGTAGAGGTGACTGGAGGTATATACTTGTCCTCACCTGGATCATGCTGATGTGGCCCCAACCCCACCTCCCTACCCATCCCCACCTCCCTACCCATCCCCACCTCCCTACCCATCCCCACCTCCCTACCCATCCCCACCTCCCTACCCATCCTATGATGTCCAAAGAAACCAGACAGAGCAAATTGGCCGAGGCCAAGGAACAGGTAAACGCACCAACACCCCAACCCAACCCGAGGCCCCCTCTGACAGCCGAACTGCTGCCAGAGTCTGTGCCACTCCTGAGGGACACCAGGCTGGGCCCCCCACCCCAGTGCCTCTGGGCTCCCCACACCAAAATCTTGTCAGCCAGCCCAACCCCCTCATAAGTCCTGCCCCTGCTCTGCCCGGCACACCAGGGTGACTTTGAGCAGGTGACTCCTGGGGCTTCCAACTCCATACTCCGCCCTTACCTCCTGCTACCCCAAACCCGACCTCCCTGGGCTCCTTGAGCTCACATCTCCAAGGACCTGGGTGCCCCAGAACCTGCCCTCACCAGTTGCCACAGGGTGACTTTGGGGATGTGACTCCTGGAGCTCCTTGCTCCTTAATTGGCCCTCACCTCCTGCCGCCCCAAGCCTGACCTCCCGGGGCTCTTTGGGGTCACGTCTCCAAGGACCTGGCTCCCAATTTTGTGACCCCCTCCCCAGTCTCAAAGCGGCAACTTGGGCATTGCACTCATGTGTCCCCCCCAACCACTCCACCGAGGAGTAGAATGTAGTGATGTCACAGTCCCGCTACAAACTGTCATTACTACCACAAGACCGGCCTTTGGTCTTAGGACCCAGTCCCCTAAGTGTTCTTGCCCACTTCTGTTTCCTCTGGTTGCAGCACAGGTTTCCAGCTGGAAGGGGAATGGGGACTGTGGGACCTAGAAGAGAGAGGTTTCAGGCTGCCTGACTTCCTTACCACAGACCTTGACAGTGTGAAAAGCCTACACCTCCCCCATGAGCTCAACACGTTGACAGTGTCTCTGGGTGGCAATGGGAGAATGGGTTTGGTTTGGTTTTCTCCCAGGCTTCTACTCTCCAGAGAGACTTTAACATTTTTTCTCAGTTCTGCACCTCAGATTTGAATTCTCCATTGTTCTGGGACCAGAGTGCCCCTCAGTCACTGGTTCTGGAGTGAGATCTGCTTATCTTCTGTGGAACAGATCTTGGGAAACTGAACTTAGCTTGAGTCTTCCTCATCTCATCTCAACCTGGGGTACTTTGAGTGCCACAGGATAAATATGGGGCATCTTTCTGAAGCATCAGTTTCCCTTGATTCTATTGAGAGGCAAAACATTAATGTACTTAGGGATGAAAGTCACATAGATTTATAAGCGTATACAAGACTTCTCTCTGAAATGAGGCTTGGGTTGTCCTCTTTCTGTTAAATTCCCAGATTTAGCAGAAAGGCTGCCTTCTGCCATGAGGAGACATTGATGTAAAGGTTTGAGAGGTACTGGTGTACTTTTTAACACTAACAGACGTGTGAGGGTGAATAACCCTAAACCACATAGTGCACAGTTCCTGCCTACTTAATATTTGCTTTTCTACCTCTGCCTCTGGTTTTGGTCCCTGGCAGCTGCTGATTTAGGGCAAAATCCCAGAGCTCAGAGTCAGAAGACTGAGTTTAAGTTCCATTACTGCCTTTTTTTTCAGCCATGGTATCAATCTCTCTCAGTCACTAAGTGATTGTGACAACATTTCCTACAGTTGGTGGCATTAAATCAGATGGTCTATAAGAGTATTTAGTATAAACTGTAAAGCAGGATGTGACTGTAGGAGCTTGTAGTTCTCATGAGTATCACTGCTCTTCCTTTCCACAGTTGACAGACCATCATCCCCAGACCAACCCTAGTGTTGGTACAGCAGCAAGCGACACCAAAAAGAAGAAAATAAATAATGGCACTAACCCTGAGACAACCACTTCTGGTGGTTGCCACTCGCCTGAGGATGTGAGTCTTGGCTGGCCGGGCTCCTGGGGACAGAGGGCCCAAGGGGTGGTGGAGGGTAATTGTTAAGATTGTGGAAGAACTGCCAGGTACTGGCTAAGAATTCTGGGTTTGAATCCTACCCCTCCATCTGCTAGGGATATGATTTAGCGCAAATTGCTTGAGCTCTTTGGGCCTCTCTTTTCACATCCGTAAAATACGAGTGGTATTGTTTTCCTTACGTTTGTGAAGTTTAAATGAGATTTGTCATTGTGTTTTTATGTTAATCCCTCGTCCAGGACCTGCTGTAAACTCTCCTTCTTGGGCTTGCGTTTCCTGAGGTAGAGTTAGAGAGTATCAGAGGTTTCTGTTAGCTCTGAGAGCCCGAGAGTTAAAGGCCCACTAGAATGGAAACCTCGGGGCCAAGGGCTCCTGTCTGCCTTTTCTGACCTCTATTCCCGCTGTGAAGAACCGTCCCTGGCCCGTATGTGCTCAACGTTTGCTGAGTGAATGCACCTTTCTAAATCACAAGCTGGCAGAAGGGTGGGCTTTTCTCGCACTCCACCTCTGAAGGTTTCTGTTACTATCTTTTCAAGAGAATCTAGTTTCAGACTTTGAGTTCTGTGGCTGTGGGCAAAAACCAAAAAGACCCAAATCCTTCTTCTTTGGGAGTTGAGGAGAGTTGACCAGTTCATGTTCCCATTGGGTCTGAGAACTGTGCCTTTTAAATCCATTCCTGGCCCCTGCCTATCGCTTCCTGGCCTGGGGAATAGAGTCAAGGGGGCCACCCTCAGTCACCTTCCTTTGACTCTCCCCACAGAAACAATAGAACCGAGCTCAGCTGGAAGAAGTAGTGTGATTTCTTTGCTCACGACATGACCGCTGGGTTTGGGGGCACTCAGATGTAGAGGCCCCAGGCTCATCTCACCCACTCCCAGCCTGGGGAAGAAGGCTCACCCCCAAGATTCCACCCCATCCCCACAGGGTCCCTGATAAACTGGTCCCATGGGTGGGCCTGTTCTGGGGCAGTGGTGCCATTCTGGGGGCATGTCTCTTGCTGTGCCATCTCTGCCTCCACCTAGCAAGAGCTCTGTTTTCCTCTTTCTATAGGAACAGAAGGCAAGCCACCAACATCAGGAAGCCCTAAGGAGGGAGCTAGAGGTGAGTGGAGGGTGTGAAGTTCCCTCCTGCCCTCTGGAGAATGTTTCTTTGCTTCTCTTTCAGCATTTGCTTGTCTTTTCTCCCAAAGGCCCAGGTTCATACCATACGAATCCTTACATGTCAGAAAACTGAGCTTCAGATGGCACTCTACTACAGCCAGCATGCTGTCAAGCAGTTGGAAGGTGGGAATCTGGCACCCCATCATCCTTCAACCTGGCACTTTGACAGGCCTTTAGGGGGAGTCCTTTGGGCCACATCTGAATGTCTCTCATTCCAGGAGAGGCCAGGGATCTGATCAGCCGCCTGCATGATTCATGGAAGTTTGCAGGAGAGTTAGAGCAGGCTCTCTCTGCTGTCGCTACACAGAAGAAGAAGGCGGATAGGGTGAGTCCAAACACGGCCCCGTCCCTTGGGAGCCCAGCTTCGCAGATGGAGGAGTGAGCCTAAAGGTCCCTTCTGTAGGATGGAGTGTCCTGCCCAGAAGGCAGCATGGCCATTTCTTGCTGCTTTTGTGTGTGGTTGTTAGAGGCAGACTGGGGCTGAGTCGGCTGTTGTGGGTGAGTTGGGGAGCACTGTGGGGAGCGAGCACTGGACATAGAGCTCAGAGGCCAAGTGCCCGCCCTGCCCATACTTGGCTGTGGCCTTGGCCAAGTCCTAAGTGGCGGTTAGGGTACTTGTACCATAAAGGTACAGAAGAGTATCTTGAGTATGTTATTATTTGTGTGGAGAGAGGGGGCAGGTGTATATGTGTGTGTGTGTACGTATTATGGTAACATACATAAAACACGTTTGTAAGGATTCATTAAAAAACTCAGGATAGAGGCACAGTGTTGGGGGGAGATATTTCCCTTCTGGACTTTCTGAGTTTTGGACTATGCGAACGTATCATCCTTTCAAAAATTCAACAAAGGATTAATTTCCTCCTTCTTAACTGTGCCCCTACCTCCAGCGGAAGAATGGGCTTAGAGAATCAGATATACCTGGGTGTTGAAATCCCAGCTCCAAGTGATCTTAGGCAGCACTTAACCTTTAATACCGCATGTTTTTCATCTACACAATAGAGGTAATAATGGTAACCATCTCCTATGGAGGTTGTGAGGATTAAATGGGATTGTTAGCATAGTGCCTGGTGAAGCACTCAAGAAAGGTTCGAACAGTGGTAGTACTAACAGTAATAGCAATAACAATATTATCTGATCGCTCTGGGCCCCTGTTAGCCAGCTCTAAATTCAATCTCTTTCCCTGTCCCTTCCACATTCACTGAGTTCTTTGAAAAACAAATGAGGGCCAGGTGCTCTCGCTCACGCCTGTAATGCCAGCACTTTGGGAGGCTGAGGTGGGCGGATCACCTGCGGTCAGGAGTTCAAGACTAGACTGACCAACACGAAGAAACCCCGTCTCTACTAAAAATACAAAATTAGCCCGGTGTGGTGGCACATGCCTGTAATCCCAACTACTCGGGAAGCTGAGGCAGGAGAATTGCTTGAACCCAGGAGGTGTAGGTTGTGGTGAGCTGAGATTGTGCCATTGCACTCCAGTGAGGGCAACAAGAATGAAACTCTGCCAAAAAAAAAAATAAAAAGAAAGAAAGAAAGAAAGAAAGAAAGAAAAACAAATGAGACCATGGGCTTGGAAATGCCTTGAGAACACGTCAGGTGTGATTGAGAGTGAGGAAGTGTTACTGTGGAGTAGTCACCGTAGCAGTTGTTCCTGGTCGTCCAGCTACTGCTGTGCCTGCTCTATCCTGACTTAACCTTTCTCTATTTGCAGTACATTGAGGAGTTAACAAAGGAGAGGGACGCCCTGAGTCTGGAACTGTACAGGAACACGTAGGATGGGGGAAGGTGGAATGGGAGGTCTGGGGGCCCTTAGCATGGGTGGTGTGCTGGGAGGTGGGGGGTCCAGGTGAGTGTGGGGAGAGGCTCATACATGTTTTCATGTGTGCACACGGAAGCTCTAGTGCTGGCTGTGCCACTGACTCATGGGGTAGCCTCAGGCAACTCATGTCTTCTCTCTGGCCTGCCACCTGGGACTTTTAATTCCTGGGGTCCCTTCCAGCGCCACGGTTCTGTGGTTGTGGGGCGAGGGTAGGGGGTCAATCACCAAAGTGGTCTTTTATGTTCTTCATTCATTCCTTTCTCTACTGCCTCTGGCCATAGCATAACTGATGAGGAGCTGAAGGAGAAAAATGCCAAACTACAAGAAAAACTTCAACTTGTAGAATCTGAAAAGTCTGAGATCCAGCTCAACGTAAAGGAGCTAAAAAGGAAACTGGAGAGGGCCAAGCTCCTGCTGCCACAGGTGAGCAGCTGCAGCCCCGGGGGTTGTGGGAGACCCATCCAGCTGGGACCATGGTCTAGGGATCATGCAGGGTATGGGGAGGCTCCAGCCAAGAGCTGGAAAATTTGGGTCCTTGTTCTGGTCCCGCCATAGAATCCTCTAGAGTGTACTAAAAATGTACAAATTGGGGCCCTGCCTGGGGAATCAGAATCTCAAGAGTTAGGGCTTAAAAATATTTTTTTAAAGGATCATGGATGAAAACCATTATTTTATAGATTACATTTATTTATTTATTTATTTATTTATTTATTTATTTATTTGAGAAGTAGTCTCACTCTGTCACCCAGGCCAGAGTGCAGTGGCGCAATCTCGGCTCACTGCAAGCTCCACCCCCCGGCTTCACGCCATTCTCCTGCCTCAGCCTCCCAAGTAGCTGGGACTACAGGTGCCCACCACCACACCCGGCTAATTTTTTTGTATTTTTAGTAGAGACGGGGTTTCACTGTGTTAACCAGGATGGTCTCGATCTCCTGACCTCGTGATCCGCCCACCTCGGCCTCCCAAAGTGCTGGGATTACAGGCGTGAGCCACCGCTCCCAGCCTATAGATTACATTTATGTGGCTAGCTCATGATTCTGCTTCCTTCTGAGGTTCAAAAAAACACTTTCACTATTCCAGCAGCAGCTGCAGGCGGAGGCTGACCACCTGGGTAAGGAGCTGCAGAGTGTGTCAGCAAAGCTCCAAGCCCAGGTGGAAGAGAACGAGTTGTGGAACCGCCTGAACCAGCAACAGGAGGAGAAGATGTGGAGGCAGGAGGAGAAGATACAGGAGTGGGAGGAGAAGATACAGGAGCAGGAGGAGAAGATACGGGAGCAGGAGGAGAAGATACGGGAGCAGGAGGAGAAGATGCGGAGGCAGGAGGAGATGATGTGGGAGAAGGAGGAGAAGATGCGGAGGCAGGAGGAGATGATGTGGGAGAAGGAGGAGAAGATGCGGAGGCAGGAGGAGATGATGTGGGAGAAGGAGGAGAAGATGCGGAGGCTGGAGGAGATGATGTGGGAGAAGGAGGAGAAGATACGGGAGCTGGAAGAGAAGATGCACGAGCAGGAGAAGATACGGGAGCAGGAAGAGAAGAGGCAGGAGGAGGAGAAGATACGCGAGCAGGAGAAGAGGCAGGAGCAGGAGGCGAAGATGTGGAGGCAGGAGGAGAAGATACGGGAGCAGGAAGAGAAGATACGGGAGCAGGAGAAAAAGATGTGGAGGCAGGAGGAGAAGATTCACGAGCAGGAGAAGATACGGGAGGAGGAGAAGAGGCAGGAGCAGGAGGAGATGTGGAGGCAGGAGGAGAAGATAAGGGAGCAGGAGGAGATATGGAGGCAAAAGGAGAAGATGCACGAGCAGGAGAAGATACGGAAGCAGGAGGAGAAGGTGTGGAGGCAGGAGGAGAAGATGCACGACCAGGAGGAGAAGATACGGGAGCAGGAGGAGAAGATGTGGAGGCAGGAGGAGAAGATAAGGGAGCAGGAGGAGAAGATACGGGAGCAGGAGGAGAAGATACGAGAGCAGGAGGAGATGATGCAGGAACAGGAAGAGAAGATGGGGGAGCAGGAAGAGAAGATGCAAGAACAGGAGAAGATGCGGAGGCAGGAGGAGAAGATAAGGGAGCAGGAGGAGAAGATACGGGAGCAGAAGGAGAAGATACGAGAGCAGGAGGAGAAGATATGGGAGCAGGAGGAGAAGATACGAGAGCAGGAGGAGATGATGCAGGAACAGGAAGAGAAGATGTGGGAGCAGGAGGAGAAGATGTGTGAGCAGGAAGAGAAGATGCAAGAACAGGAGGAGAAGATGCGGAGGCAGGAGGAGAAGATGTGGGAGCAGGAAGTGAGGCTGCGGCAGCAGGAGGAGAAGATGCAGGAACACCAGGTGAGGCTGCAGGAGCTGGAGGAGAGGCTGGGGAAGCTGGGGCAGAAGGTCGAGCTCTTGGGGGGAGCAGGCGGAGGTGTGTGCAAACCCTGGAGATCATACAGAACGACCTCACCACAACTTAGCAGATGGTGGTTGGCTCCCTCTGCTTTTCCACCAGTCTGTGGCCTACAGTTTAAATGGTGGGAAGAAGGGTGTGAGATTTGAGGCTGGGGAGGGAGGCATGGGCCTCTAGGCAAGGGAGGCAGTCATTTAGGCCTGGAGGAAGGGGCCAGGGCCAGGGGCCTGGGTAGGCGACAGAGCCCCGCAGTGCCCTCACTACCCTGTTTATGGGCCCAGAATCTGGAAGCCAGCCACTACCTACCCTGACGCCTATCCTGCAGGTGGAGCTGAAGAGCCAAGAGGCTGAGTCTGCAGCAGCAGCGAGACCATTACCTGGGTCACCTGCAGCAGTACGTGGCCGCCTATCAGCAGCTGGCCTCTGAGAAGGAGGCACTGCCCAGCTGCAGCAGCAGGAAGCTCAGGGCGAAGCGGTGGCCGAGATGGCCCACCAATAGTTGCAGGAGACCCGGTTGAGGGAGTTGATGAGGGCGGGGCCCCAAGGGGGATGATCTGGCAACCTCCGTGCCTTCTCACTCTCTTTCCTGGCCCCTTAGGAGCACCTGGAAGCTGCCATCTAATGAGCACATGACAAGAAGGCAAAGACAATAAACATGTAAAAGCCGGCAGCAAGGCCTGGAGAAGAGTAAGCCGCCATGTGACTGTTTAGAATATAGTCTGAGCACAAACCTGAAAAAAAAATTTTATTTATTTTAAATTGTGGCAAAATACTGGCCAGGCATGGTAGCTCACGCCTGTAATCCTAGCAATTTGGGAGGCCGAGGTAAATGGATGACCTGAGGTCAAGAGTTCAAGACCAGCCTGGCCAATACAAAAATTAGCCGGGCATGGTGGCGCATGCCTGTAATCCCAGCTACTTGGGAGGCTGAGGCAGGAGAATCGCTTGAACCTGGGAGGCAGAGGTTGCAGTGAGCTGAGATCGTGCCACTGCACTCAAGCCTGGGTGACAGAGCGAAACTCCGTCTCAAAAAAAAAAGTTTCTTCCTTACATGTATGTTTCTATTAGTTTTCTTCTTGGTCTTTCTCATTTAGTCTTGTGTTGTCTTTTGACATTCATAGTAAACTTTTATCTGCCTCCAGAGAGTATTGACTTTGAGTTTATGGCACACAATTGGAGTAAGGGCAGATCGCCTTCATCTACTTTGGGACTAAGCTGGTTCAAAGCAGGTTTTAGGTTTTCTGATGGCTGGTCTATGTTTTATTCATTTGGACTCCCAGGGGTGGCCCTTCCAGGGTCCCCACCAAGGTCCCATCTCCTTCCTGGGACCCAAATTCTCATTAGGTCATTTCAGCCCTGTGAGAGTGCCAAACATTCAGCTAGGCTCTCCAGCCTCTTAACTACCACTTCATACTCAGTTTCTTAGCCTCTTAGCCCTCTACTGTTGACCAATCACCAAATGTGGGAAAGCACTACAGACTGTCAGGATCACCTCCTAGGCCTGGTCACTCAAGTCCTGACTGAGGTCTCCAATTACCTTCCAACAATTGTTTTTGATTGGGGGCGGGGCACATTTTTATCCAGTTTTTCTAACTGCTCTTGTGGGGAGGCGAATCTGTAACAAGCTCCTCTGCCTTTACTGAAAGTTGAAAACCTTCATCTGTCCTTTTTTTGTTGTTGTTGAGATGGAGTCTTGCGCTGTTGCCCAGGCTCTAGTGCAATGGCACGATCTCTGCTCACTGTAACCTCTGCCTCCTGGGTTCAAGCAATTCTCCTGCCTCAGCTTCCCGCGTAGCGTGTGCCACCATGCCTGGCTAATTTTTTTTTATACCTTTAATAGAGGCAGGATGTCACCATGTTTTCCAGGCTGGTCTCGAGCTCCTGACTCAGGTGATCTACCTGCCTCAGCCTCCCAAAGTGCTGGGATTACAAGTATGAGCCACTGCATCCGGCCCATCTGTCTTTTAAAACATGTTTTTAATTGGAGGTATAATTTCTATTAGTGAAATGCACAGGTCTGGTTTACATTTTGATGAGTTTTAACTCATTTAACATTACTATGGAACCCACCTCCTTTGAAGATACAGAGTATTTCTATCATCCAGAAAGTTCTCCTGTGCTTTCATGCTGTCCCGCACTCCCCCAGCAGCTGATGAACATGCTGAGGACATTGGTACTGGATTCTGGCCGCCCCAAAAGAGCCGCTTTGACCAGGCTTACCCAGCACTAAATCCCTGCCTGCTCTCTCAAAATTTCCATCTTTAAACTGGTTGTACCTATAACCCTCCCTCATCAAGTCAATAGATAAACAAACCCTGAAAAATAAACAACTCTTCCTGGCCCAGCAGCCCACAGCCTAATATTTACTGTATTCCCAGGCTTTCAGAAATGTAACTCGCCTGCCGGTTCACCCTCACTAGGGCGGCAGCTGCACGGGAGCAGCTGGGCTCACCCATTAAGCAAGAAGCCAATAGCTGGACAGTGACACTCAGACCCCAGCCTGGGCGAGCCTGGCTGAAAGCCCCCTTCTTTCCATCCGACTGTGGAGAAAGGGGGCGGAGCACACACAACTCTACTGCCCTCCACATCCTTCACCTGTGCTTCCTCCTGGGAGAGGGAGCCGCTCCTTAATTTGGCCAAAGCCTTCTTGAGGGCTGTAGGTTTCACAGGCTGGGTGTGTGGGGGCCACCGTGCTAGAGACAGAGGCTGGTGTGTCAGAAGGCAGCCACCTGGCCAGAGGGGGGTTAACCCCCTTGGTGACCTCCTTCCCCCGGCTGGACACAGTGCCCTGCACTCTCTACATGTGACTGTTCCCCTCAGAGCTGCTTCCAGGGGAGGGGTTCTAATCCTGTGGGTGGGGACATTGTGTTACTTTACAGTGGGCCATGGCTCCCTCTGACATCTCCAACTCAGAGGCAGTAGAGAGAAGATGAGAAATTCCCTGCCCCTCCTCCTTCAGCACCCCCACCTCTGCACACGTCCACATGTGGAGACCCTGACAATGGGCCCTGGGAGTGCCGCCATCTGTGCCTGCTTTCCATGCCTGCAGCAGCCATGCCCACTCTCCAGACCCTCACCCGCCTGGGTCAGTAGACGCTTCACTGCCTGTGGTCCTGCGCCTACACCTGGGCCTCTGTACCCGTCAGTTCCCCCAGTCTGGTTCTTATTCCCTGCAAAGAGTAGGGAGCCTGTAAGGTCACCTGTTGAGCAAGCTGGGGGAGAAAAGTAGGGTGGGGATGGGAGGATCAGGATGAGAAGCTCATGGTCGTGCTGGAGACTCAGCTGAGCAGAGT
This sequence comes from Homo sapiens, assembly GCF_000001405.40. Classification (NCBI taxonomy): domain Eukaryota; kingdom Metazoa; phylum Chordata; class Mammalia; order Primates; family Hominidae; genus Homo; species Homo sapiens. Next base: position 113,776 of record NT_187604.1, read on the forward strand.
CTCTGCAGGCCCATTGGCTGCCTAGCCAGTGGTGATCTCGCTCCCACCCTCATTTCTTCTTTGTTAACAAAACCATGACCTCATTAAATACTGGACACCTATAAACCTCATGGACCCTCCTCCAGCCTCCCCACCGTGTACCGGTGAGTCTAAGTCAACTCTAGTCATTTCATTCCTCTGGACATTGACTGCTTAGGGCTTGGGCATGAGCTGCCTCTTCACCTGAGCCTGAGCCACAGGTACCCTCTGCACCTACCACGCTGATGCACTGGGCCAGGGAGAGCGCCGTCTGGATGGAGATGAGCTGTGAGGAGCTGGTGGCTGGGCGGATCAGGTTGTTGTAACAGGTTTTGTTCAGAAGGTCGTCCATCAGTTTCTGCTCGGCATGGGCCATGCGGCAGTCCCCTGGGTAAACACACAGACATGCTGGGCCCTTGTGCAGCTGTCTCCCACTGCAGCTGACAGCTATGAAGCAGGAGCTGAGAGGGCCAGGGAGCACAGACACCCTGAGAGCTGGCTGAAGCAGTGAAGGTGCTGGCCGGCCTGGCTTTCCCTGGGGACTTCAAATGACATTCACGACAGAGCTCAGCTACCTCCTCCCCATGCCATACCTCTTCCTCCTCCTCCTCCCTCCGTCAATGAACAGCATCCCACGCTCTACACATCTGATACAAAACTGGGTGTCTCTTCCTGACTCCTCCCTTGGTTCACCCAAGTGGCCACCAAGTCCTGTCTGTCCTCCCATCTCCACGGCTACAGCCATGTCCCTGCCTCCCCCGCCCTGCCCACCTTCTGTTCTCTCCACCTGCACTCTGCCCCTGCCATCCATGTGCCATACAGTGGCAGACTGGTCTTTCTACAGCAAACTGGACGAGGGCCCTTCCCTACCCACAGCTCTCAGAGCTGGAGGTGGAGTTGAAGCTCATGTTTTGGCTTGGCATTCAGAGCTCTTTCCCCCTCAGCACTGGCTTATCCAGAGTGCTCACAGTGCAGGGCAGGAGCCTCGTGACTCAAATGTGGGTTTGGTGCAGAACTGGGTCTGAGGTGGTGCTTTCCCTATGAAGAGACAGGGCCGACATGGGGGAATTTTCTGGGTTCAAAGTTAGACCTAGAGAGTGCAAAGTTTCTCTGAGGCACCAAATGGAGGGGTCCAGCTAGCAGCTGGCCCCTGGTCTGGAGCTTCAAGGAGAGGTCTCAGCTCAGAGCCACATTCAATAGCCAGCTTACATGTGGCCTCCTGCAGGGAGCCCCTGGAGCTTCCACAGCCTCCGTTCTGCCCCTCTGCATACCCCAGATCTCCTGCTAAGTGGCGTTTGGGTCTTCATGTCATCTCCCTCCCATGTCTGGGAGTAAAGGTGAGGTGCAGAGACTTGCGCTTGTGTACTCTGGTGTCTTAAGGGAGAGTGTGTCAAGTAGAGTGGAGGCGGCTTGGAAAGAGGGAGACTCAGAGGAGAGTGAAGGACACATGACCAGGCGAGCCTGGGAGCAGGAAAAGAGAGTGAGCAGAGGCAACTGCTGGGTCAGGGGAGCGGATGGGAGGATCAGGGAATGCGGGGGGGCTGGAGAGGTAGGGGTGGGGACGTTGGCGAGGGGCTGCCTGGCTCGCCAGGCTCAGGAGTCAGTTACATCCTCCCACAAGGGCCAGCTCACCTGGTCGCCCCAAAGACCTCCCTCTGTGGGTGGGACCAGAGGGCCAAGAGCACGGATAACCCAATTGAGCAGGACTGAGGCGGACTCAGGTGGGTGCTGGGCCGGACTCCTGGCTGTGGGGAGCAGCCGCCACCCTGCCTATTGCATCCACTTTCCAACTCGCTGCCTATCTGAGCAGATGCGATATTGGGCACCTTGTGAAACATGCTCCTGGTGCACCTGCTGCCTGCTGCCCCTCCTGCAGAGTGCCCGGGCTCTCCAGAGGGGATTCCTATGGAGGCTTGGCCTAGATTCTGAGTCCTGCCTCTCATACCTGGGGCTGCTACCCCAGAGGCCAGCTGCTTGAGTACCCCGGAAGCCAGTCTGTAGCCCCAGGCTACAGCTGGGTCCATCCCACAGCCCTTCTCTAATGTACCTATTTGGACTGGCTGCTCATTTCATAGAGAGGGGTGTGTCTTGCCCCAGACCATCTGGCATGTCTAAGGCAGCTGTGGGGTCAGAATCTGCAGCTCCCAGCCCTCAGCCCAGCAATAGTAGGAAAGGCTGGACCCCACATCTCTGAAGTCCCACTGGGTGGGTGTGAGCGGGCTCCCGAGTACAGGGCTGCTCTGCAGGCTGTGGGGCTCATGCGCCAGCTCTGAGCCCACCTGATGTGCTCACGTTGCTCACCTTTGGGCCTGTCCTGCCTCTCAGGCATTCGGCTGACCCTGAGGGCCTCTCCCTCATCTTGACCACCAGCTACGGGCTCTGATTTAGAGGTTCCCAGAACCTTAGACCATTTGGCCGGCCCCCCATTTCTCACCTGAGGAAACTGAGACCAGAGAGGGATAGCAACTTTCTCAAGGACCCCCAGCAATTCAGAGGCAGAACCAGGTCTAGGAGCCTCTTCTCGATAGAGGTTCCCCCTGTCCCCTGAGCCTTCGTTAGTGCCTCATTAACTTCCCTGTAAGGAAACTGCCCCGCTGAGGCTGGAAATGGTGCTGTCCAGAGTGGTGTGTGCCAGTGACTGTGCTTGTGTTTGTACTTGTGAGTGTGTATGGGGGTGGGGATGAGGGGTGGGAATAAACGGCAGGGATGCCGGGGGCTGGATGCACTCCACCTCACCCCAAAAAGGGGCGCAGGAGAGCCCAGCCAAGCACAGCACATGCTTCGACTTTCCAATCTGCTGAATGCCTGTGAGGCCGGCTGGGCCCAGAAGACAAGGGACAGGCCTTTCCCCATAGATGGCAGGGGGGACCCAGGATGGGTGGAAGCTTCTGCCGCAGCTTTGGGGGTCACAACCCAGCCCATGGGCTGACACTTAAGCAGAAAAGCCACCTCTAGGGGTCAGTCATAATCTAGTGATTCTGATGAGGAGGGCCCCACCAACCTCTGTCCAGGGTCTTGTCTGGGAAAAACTGCTCCCTGGCAGAAAGAGGCTAATAATTTGAGAGGAAGCCATAGCTGAAACCCTAAGCTGTGTGAGTGTGTGTCCAGTTTGAGAAAGCATATCCGACTTAAACATTTGTATTGAAAAAATGGAAACATATTCCCCTTGTTTTGGAATACAAACTGCAGAAAGCAGCAGTTAACAGAATCTTATCGGAAAGGTCAGACTCTGCATCTGGAAAGGCACAGTGATTTTCAACTGCGGTGTGTGTCCTTAACTGAGGAAGGGAAGGTAAGATTTATGTTTAGTAAAAGGCAGCTATGAATTTACCTTTTATAAAGAGCTTGCTATATACTATTAGTGCTTTTCAGTCATGTCAGAATCAGCCAGATGCCTGTGGAAATGCAAATTCCCAGGCTTCATTCCCAGAGATTCTGGTCCTGTGAGCCTAGGGTGGGGCCCAGAAATCTCTATGGGGTGGTGCAGCCTGCCCCAGGACCACACCAAGAAACACTGCAACTGGCCCACACACATCCCAGTCCACAAATATGTAGGCAGGCATCTTATCTCCACAGAACAGATAGGGAAACTGAGGTCAGAGTGGGGAAAGAAACGTCATGGGGCCACCCAGCAAGTAGTAGCAGAGCCACGATACACCCACTGCCTGCAGACACCATCTCTGATGACAGCTCCACCTCCCCACAGGAATCTTGCCTACCCCCACCCCTACCTCCTGCTGCCCCTATGGTGGGTCTCTGTCCAAGGAAGATGTATCCTAGGTCCTCTAGGCTGACTGCGGCTCAGAGGAAACCTTGGCCCAGAGTGTAGGAGCTAGAGGGGTCCTTGGAATTCACGTGGGGAATTTGAGGCCCAAAGAAGGCAGTCCTCACATTTGAACTCTGTCTGGAGAAGGGCTAGGTCTTCTTCCTGAGTGGTAGTTTTGACTTCACCAGCCTGGCCCTCAGTCAAGCTGGCTGTCCAGGCCCGCCACACCTCGGGGTGGGTGACCAGAGGCGGTGGTGCCATAAAACACGTTTCCTGGGAGATCCACCCCCAAAGCTCAAAACATTCCAGGGCTGGTGATTTGGGCAAGCCCCCTTCCCTCTCAGCCCAGTTTCCCCATCTCTGCAACAGCCGTGCTGGTGGAGACTTCTGATACTGAGCTGCAGATTTTCTCCTGGGTGCCTACACAGCCCAGGTTGCCGGCTCCTCTGTGCCCACTCTTCAAGAAAGTCAGCTCTTAGGTAAGGAAGGTGCCTTGGCCCTATCAGGAGCAGGAGCCGGTGCACCCCCAGCTTCCCAGGCCAGTGGGGATGACCCAGGCTGCCTACAAAGCTGCTGCCCAGCCCGGAGACACCCGCCTGGGAGGGTGGCCCTGGCCCTTGCAGCGGCTCTGAGAAGAGTCGGCCCCCACTCCAAAACTGGCAGAGCCACCCATGCCTTCCCTCAGCCCAAAGAGGCTTTTAGGAAAATGAATCGTCTCAAGTTCAAACCCATGGGGTTGCTGAAAGACAAGACAGTGCAGGGTGAGCTGGTGCGAGGGAGCGCTGCTCGGTGCAGACTTTGCAGGGAGGGCACTTAGGAAAAAGGACTGGAGTCTGGGAGGGTTAACTAGCTTAGGGTTAAAGGGAGGGGATGGAGCTGGAGTGAGCTGGCCTCGTCCTCCCCCTTGGGCCTTCCAGCCTGGGCTCAGGTGATTCAAGGGAGCAAGCACCTCCCTCTCCCAGCCAGGGAGTTCTCGCCACATTCTGCAATCAGTACCATTCCCCTGGGGGCTGGGTGACAGCCCCCACCTCTGGACCTGGCTGGAACTGCTGTCTCAATTCTAGATCCAAAAGAATCTCTGGCAGCTTCTCCATCTCCCTCTCAGTCCAGCCTCACCTCTTCGCCCGTGGAGGAGCTCCAACAGCAAATCTGGCAACTGGAGGAACAAGGCAGGAAGGGCAGGGTCTGAGGAAGGAACCACCTTCAAAAGGCAGCTCTGCCACCTTCTCTCCAGGACTCTCAGGCTTGCTTTCCTATTGCTCCCTCGACATCCTTTTGCTATAATCTGCCATGTTGACGTATAGTCTTTAAAAGCAACAATGCTGTTGACGTGGAGCAGACTTCCCATTTGGGATGGTTTGGAGAAGTTAGGTTTGAGGGCATCCTCTCTTCTGCAAACTGCAGCAGTAATAGATGAGATATACAAAGTAAATAAAGGCTGGGTGCGGTGGTCGTGCCTGTAATCCCAGCACTCTGGGAGGCTGAGGCAGGAGGATCACTTGAAGCCAGGAGTTCGAGACCAGCCTGGCCAATATGGCGACACCCTGTCTCTACTAAAAATGTAAAAATTAGCTGGGCATAGTGGTGCACACCTGTAGTCCCAGCTACTCAGGAGGCTGAGGCAGGAGAATCACTTGAACCCGGGAGGCAGAGGCTGCAGTGAAATGAGATCCCGCCACTGCATTCCAGCCTGGGCGACAGAGTGAGACTCCATCTCAAAAAATAAAAATAAAAAATAAAGTAAATAAAAAAGACATGCCCAGGCTGAAAAATAAGTTAATTATCTCCATGAACGAAAAGCAGACAAGAAATGCAAAGTGGTTGGAGGCTGAAGAGCCTGGACCCTCCTGGGCTTTGGGAACCAAAGATGGTGGCAAGTCCTTTGGGATAAAGAGGGACAAAATGACTCCTAGCTAGAAGCTGGGAGCTTGGGTGTACCCCAGTACTTGAAAGGATGCTAGCTGGGCGCGGTGGCTAATGCCTGTAATACCAGCACTTTGGGAGGCCGAGGGAAAGTAACTCTTATGTCAGTGTGAAGCAAATCAGACAGGACAGGGGAACATGGAGGGGAGGAGAGCCAAACCAGGGCCTGGTTCCAGACCCACCACACCCGCCCCGTTGAGCCAGGAGCACAGGTGGCTCTCTGCACAACATCAAGAGCGAGGACATGCTTTCAGCTCCACTTTAACTCAGGTTCCTAATGTGACAGCAGGCTTGTCAATCCCACTTGCCCCCGTGTCTCACACCAGAAAACTACCAGCAGTGTGAGTAAGGACAGAAGCAGGAGACAGAGGAGCCAGGGTTGGGGAATCCCATAGCAACCCACAGGCCCTCATCACACACGGCAAGGATGCGCCTTCACTGGGCTCACCACCACCACTCGACATCACCTTCACTACATGATACCCTGCCTGGATAACACCACTGTAACACAAGAAACAGGTCTAGAATCTAGCATGTATGCTACACCTGAAGGAGCAAGAGACGGTAATACAATACAATGAAATTTTTAGTTTATTTAATATAAAATTTAGAGCCATAATCAAAATGTGTAATTCTGATGGGATTCACTACTTATAAAAACTTTGCAGCGCTCTATTTTCAAATGTAAATGGTATTCTGTGGCTCCTCGCCAGCAAGTAAATAACGATCTACTCTGAAATACGTTTCACGGCTTATTTTTGGCAAGCAGCGATTTCTCCAACTCACGTTTTCCAAGGGAAAAAAGGACATGAAATGTCTCCAAAAGTCTCTTACGATCTTTAGATAAACTACTGTTCAACAACTGCATCTGCCAAGTCAACACATCAAGAATCCTTCACTCACAAACACTTAAGGTGAGAAAACAGTGTCTACCCATGCGGGAGAGGGACACATGATCCATGCTTATGAAGACAGCCTGGATATCGGCTACTGGAAAGCTGCGAATGCATTTTTCTTTTTCTACTTTCCAAAATTTTTGTGAGGTGATACTTATTTCTATGTTTGTGTCTATTCTTTCTATTTTGTATTTTTTAGTAGGTACATCCTTACTATAAATCTGCTGTAGAACCAATGTCCCATACAGGACCCCACGTGCCACAGGAACCAAAAAGTCACACGCAGCGAAGACGAAGACACAGGAGACAACCTGTGTGGACAGCACAGAGCCACCTGCCCAGGACACCAATGGAGCCACAGGTGCAATTCAGAATGTTCTTAGTCGTATTAATAAACATGGCCAGGTGCGGTGGCTCACGCCGGTAATCCCAACACTTTGGGAGGCTGAGGTGGGCAGATTACCTGAGTTTGGGAGTTCAAGACCGTCCTGGCCAACATGGTGAAACCCCATCTCTACTAAAAATACAAAAATCAGCCAGGTATGGTGGCATGCTTCTGTTAGTCCCAGCCACTCAGGAGGTTGAGGCAGGAGAATCATTTGAACCCAGGAGGCAGAGGCTGCAGTGAGCTGAGATCGTGCTACTGCACTCCAGTCCAGGCAACAGAGTGAGGATCCATCTCCGGGTGGGGAAAAAAAATTGTTCTTAGTCACATTAACAAAAGTAAAAAAAAAAAAAAAACACACCAACAAGAAAAACAACAACACATAAAATTAATTGTACTAATGGCTGGTTGCAGTGGCTCATGCCTGTAATCCCAGCACTCTGGGAAGCCAAAGCGGGCAGATTACTTGAGGTCAGGAGTTCGAGACCAGCCTGGCCAACATGGTGAAACTCTGTCTCTACAAAAATACAAAAATCAGCCAGGCGTGGTGGTAGTCCCAGCTGCTCGGGAGTCTGTAGTCCTGTAGTCCCAGCTGCTCAGGAGGCTGAGGCAGGAGAATCACTTGAACCCAAGAGGCGGAGGTTGCAGTGAGCCAAGATTGCACCACTGCACTCCGGTCTGGTCAACAGAGTAAGATTCCATCTTAAAAAATAAAAATAATTTTAATAATGTATCATAGTTATTCCAACAGATCAAAAATATGACCATTTCAACATGAAATCAATCTAAGAAAAATTATTGAGATATTTTACATAGGTTATTTCATATTAAGTCCTCAAAAACCATCTGAGTAGCTTACATATGTAACACATTTCAATTTGGACCGTGAAATTTGCATTGAAAACATCTGATCTCCATTTAGACTCATAAAATACACAGTTGACAAAGTAGACTCCCAAGGCCAAGTGATTCTAAACATACTTAAGTGCTTTCTAATAACAGAATCAAATTTTCAAACCTGCATTTTAATGAATAAAAATTAAACAGATAAAATATTCAGTGTCTCAGCTATGACGGACAGACTTCAAGTGCTGATCAGCAAACGGTGTTGAGTGTAGCCAGATGGGCCAGCGCAGGCTACACAGCTGCAGCTCAAACAGCACAGCTGCAGGTCAAACAGGCCAGTCTCTCTGCGCACGGGAACAGTCTGGGCAAGCAGGAGACGGGGAAAACGGGCACTGCCCTCGTGAGAACAAAGGACCCACAACAGGAACCCTGCACTCACCCCCTGCCAAAGACCAACAGCCCCACGAAGCAGCCACTTCAGAAAAGGGAGAGGCATTCAAGAACTTAGAAAAGCACCTCTGGAAAATGCTCACTTTAAAACTTTGCATGTAACTGTACATTTTAATTACAAGGTTTTTAACATCCATTTTCTCATGTATTCTTAATTAACTCTGTGAAAGTAAACACAGCTTTTATTCTTACTCCTATAGTTACTGTGTTGGAAGTCCACCTATATGAACAAACTGTTGTAACTGAAATTTTCTGAGAACAAATCCCAAGCTCTTTCCATCGACACAAACTATATTGTTTAGTTCTCTTTATTTCCATTTGTTAAAGACCAGAATGTGTGAAATATGCATTATCAGATTAGAAAAACAAAACAAACATCAGAAAAAGGTTTTGCAAAATAGCATTTACTAAAATCTATGACAGAAACTAGCTCTAAAACTTCCTGTTTCAAAATTTCACTGTGTGTGCACTAAGTTAGTTTTGCTGGCTGTGGACAGCAGGCCCACCCCATGCCGCGGGCCCACCCCACGCCGCGGGCCCACCCCACGCCGCGGGCCCACCCCACGCCACGGGCCCACCCCACGCCACAGACCCACCATGGCCCCATGAACAGGCCAGCTGAGAGCTGCAGCCACTGCCCAGGGCTCCCTGGTCTGTACTCGGCTGCCTGACCCAAGCTGCCAGGGCTCTGCTTTCTCTATGTGTAGAAACAAAAACCAGGAGCATCAGTTGACGAAAAGCAGATTTTTATTGAACAGAGGTATAAATGTGTTTCATTTTCTAATAAATCTCTTTCACAAATCACCTTGCTGTTTCGCTCTTCTTGAATGATCATTTTTACACAACACTGTCTGACTGTTTTGGCTTCTGCCAAGGTTAGCGTCTGTTCACAGGCTGAGTCTGACTTCCTCCTCCCACCTCCTCCTAGTCTGGCCTTCCAAAATAATGCTCACCATTCTATCACATTGACTTCAGTTTTGAAAAGAAAAGTTATCTTACAAAGTAGTAGGTACAACTCTGTAATATGTAAAGTGAGGCAATGATAGAACCAGTTTTAAAAATAACCTTCCATGATGATTTTCATTCGCACCTACCTGCTTATTAGTAAGAATCTTTTTACATGTTTACCGCACGCCCCAATTTCTCTTCTGTGAAAAACTTCTGAGTATCATCACACCCTCCAACTTCTCCTCTCACCTATATTGAGAAGGGTCTGCTCTTTATCCTAACATCTATACTAGGTAATTTTCAGAATATTCCTTCAATCATCAAACAAATTTTTGAGACCCTTGCGCTAGATTTCACTATCTTAATATGAAAACCAATAATCACCTATTAAAATACAATACAGGCCGGGAACAGTGGCTAACACCTGTAATCCCAACATTTTGAGAGGCCAAGGCAGGTGGGTCACCTGACGTCAGGAATTTGAGACCAGCCTGACCAATATGGTAAAACCCCATCTCTACTAAAAATACACAAATCAGCCAGGTGTGGTTGCAGACGCCTGTAGTCCCAGCTACTCGGGAGGCTGAGGCAGGAGAATAGCTTGAACCCAGGAGGCGGGGGTTGCAGTGAGCCAAGATCGTGACACTGCACTCCAGCCTGGACGATAGAGCAAGACTCCATCTCAAAAAAAAAACAAAAAACAAAAAACACCATTAATAAGTAAATAAATAGGCCAGGCGTGGTGGCTAATGCCTGTAATCCCAACATTTTGGGAGGCCAAAGTGGATGGACCACCTGAGGTCGGGAGTTCAAGACCGGCCTGACCAACATGAAGAAACCCTGTCTCTAATAAAACTACAAAATTAGTGGGGCATGGTGGCGCATGCCTGTAATCCCAGCTGCTCGAGAGGCTGAGGCAGAGGAATTACTTGAACCTGGGAGGCGGAGGTTGCAGTGAGTCAAGATCGCACCACTGCACTCCGGCCTGGGCAACAAGAGCGAAACTCTGTCTCAAAAAAAAAAAAGTAAATAAATAAAACACAATACAATACAGCTAATATGATTTACCTAAGAAGCTGTTGTATGAGCTGAACCAGAGGCAAACACTGTTTGCCAGAAGACTCACAGATCCCCGTATTAATAAGGTCTTTATCCAATGGAGTCCTCCTTCTATGAAATGTTGAGGCATTTGCCTCCTGTTCATAAATTTCTTTTTCCTTCCGTGCTTCTTTTTTTGTATCCTGTAATTGACAAACAGAAATTGTTTACAAGTGATCTCATTACCAGGTGTGAAGGCACACAGGCTGGCTGAGCCCTGACCCCAGTGCCAAGCTATCCCAGCCTCTGTGGCTGCCACACCCATCCACCCACAGGCCCCCCACCTGCCCTGTTGGAAACCCCAACTCATTTGTGCAGTTTCAAACAGTGTCTTCTTTTTACAGATCCAAGGTCCAGGCTGCCTCTGCTGATGCTCTCCAGCCTCCTTCTGTGAAGTCCCTAAAATCCTTAACCCTGCTAATGGCTCACACAAAACCCAATGTGATCGGCTCCACACACGCAGCATCCAGCTGCTCTGTAAGGACAAGAAGGAGCTAGAATTCTCACACACAAAAGTCCTGGTTCAAATGCAAATGGCAAAGCCACTTTGGGAAACTATGAACACACACTTACCCCAGGACCTAACAAATTCCACTCCAAGTGTTTATCCAAAGGGAGAACATATGTTCACTAAAGTACTTGTTCACAGCACAATTGTGGCAGCTCTACACGGCCAAAAACCAGAAAGCCTGGGCGCGGTGGCTCACGCTTGTAATCCCAACACTTTGGGAGGCCAAGGTGGGGGGATCACTGGAGCCCAGGAGTTGAAGACCAGCCTTGCAACACAGTGAAACCTTGTCTCTACAAAAAAATCAAAAAACTAGCCGGGCATGGTGACATGTATGTGGTCCCTGCAACACAGGAGGCTGAGGTGGGAGGATCATTTGAGCCTAGGAGGACAAGGCTGCAGTGAGCCAACCTCAGGTCACTGTATACAGCCTGGGTGACAGAGCAAGACCCTGTCTCAAAAAAAAAAAAAAAAAAAGAAAACAAAAACCAAAAACAATTACATGTCCTTCAATAGGAGAATGAACTAACAAACAGTACTACACCTATAAAATGGAAAACTTCCCAATAATAAAAACGAAGTCGCAATACACACAACAGTGAGTGAATCTGAAAATCATTCTCCAAGGCAAAGCAGGAAAGAGTGCATACTATACAGTTATATTGCTGCGACACTCAGAGCAGGAAAAATGAATCTAATCTCAGGGCAGGGGAGTATCCTGGCTGCAAGTGCCAAGGAGCACAGGGATCTTTCCGGGTGACGGGAATGGTCTACATGAGGAACAGGTTACCTGTTAACTTCACTGAAACAGACAACATGCAGTATTTTATCACAAATCATCTCAATAATTTTTAAAATTAGCACATAAAAGAATTTTAATTTAAAAAAATACTTGGATATAAGTTTAGTGTTTTACTGTTTTCAGTTATTCTTCACATGTGTGAGTGTGGTATTTCCGATCTCAGCCCACCACCAGGTCACGTGTGCCTCCAAGGCCATACCTGGATCTCTGCAGTAATGGCTGCGTGTAAGGCTGACTCCAACCCTCCATCAGCCATCAAGCTGCCCACCAGAAGATCAATCACCAATCGATGACCTGGACTTATGTTCACTTCATTGCCTGAAACTGAAATAGAAAGTCTGTGCCAATTTGAGTGAAACGCCATCCCCTCCCAGCACCCTGACCCATGCCCTCTCCTGTTCCTTCCCCGAGCCCACCTCCACAGGACAGGAGAGCAGAGTGCCCGGGCCTGCTTCTCAGCGGTGGGCAACAGCATGGACCAGCCGCTCTGCAGCATGGCCTGGGAGGCCGACTGCACGGTGCTCAGCACGTCTGCGCTGCTTGCCAGGGTCACCACCTTCTGCTTCAGGCTGTTCAGGAAGACGCTGCCCAGACCTAAACCAAGGAATTCCAGGTCAACCTGGTGACTAATGGCAGCATGCAACTGAAAGGAGAAAAACAATTTTCACTTAGAACCCCTAAAAATGAGTGAATTTCAAAGTCTTATTAAACACTGAATAAAAGTCAATTTGAAGTATTATTTAAATAGACAAAATAACTTCTCAGTTTACGTATTTTTAAAAACTGGACTAAAAAAACTCTTACCCACAATAGTTGAAATATTTTCTAGAGGAATTTTTTTTAACCCCGCTATGAACACATATATGGAAAAGCTCAAGATGAGCAGAAGAGCTAAACAACTAGCAACAGCAACCTCCACCCCGCCCCAACAATCTGCACCAAACACAGAAATAATGGCTACAATGTAACCACAAAAGCTGCCACAGGCGGTGGCTCATGCCTGTCATCCCAGCACTTTGGGAGGCCGACGGGAAAGCTCACTTGAGATCAGGAGTTCAAGATCAGCCTGGCCAACATGATGAAACCCCATCTCTATAAAAAAATCAGCCGGGTGTGATGGTACACACCTGTAGTCCCAGCTACTTGGGAGGCTGAGGCAGGAGAATCACTGGAACCTGGCAGGCCAAGACTGTACCACTGCATTCCAGCCTGGGTGACAAAGTGACACCCTGTCTAAAAAAAAAAAAGAGCTGCTAAAAATTAGACTGCGGAGCTGAGAGTACACAGGGAAACTCCTCAAGTGCAAAACCAAAATTCACATGGGCACACACAGCAGGAGTCAAGAGGTTCCGGGCTCTGAAAGCAGAGCCAAGCCGCCAGGCTTCAGCACAACCTCCCACACGGGAATGCACACAAGGACCCACTGAACCCGAGCTTCCTGCAGAAGGCTGGGAGCCACTCAGGATCACCTGCCTGCCAGCCAACCGCAGCCAGGGGGCAACACACTGCCCGTCCCAGGCTCTGGGTAGCAAGAGGCCCCATGAGAAATCAGAGACCCGGCCTTGCCCTGTGAGTAGAAGTGAAATCAAAAGCACACCACTCATCTAGGTATAGATATCACAGGTCAGGAAATGACCACCGAAACTCACCTGGAGTCTGTGAAACCTACAGAACCCTCAGGACCCCGGAGAGGCAAATGCAAAACCATACGCTGGGACACCTCGACAGCCTAAGACATACGCAAGGCCACGCCCCACAGCACTGACCAGAACAGACACATCACCGCAAACCAGGAGGGGCAGCAAACACCTGGGGCGCAACCACGCAAACGCCAGGATGCCACAGGTATGGTGATAAATGAGTGCTACAGAGGACTAGAGGAGAAGCATGCTCCAGACCTCTGCTCAGTTCATTACTGCAACTAAACACTACACTCAGTTCTGTACATTCTAGAAGCAGGGCAAAAAGGGGAGGGGCTGGAAGAGGGACATGACGGGTTGTTACAAGAAACCACTGTAATAAAAGGGAAAAATTACTATGTCGAGAAAACCGTGGTTCTTGTCATTAAGTTAGAGGGTTTTATTACAAAGACAAAAGATGATGATCAAACACTTCAGCTTTAGTTTTGCTAGGGAGGAAGGCTTTTGTAGCTTTTATTGTGACCCTAACCACAGCCTTCATGGTGAGGAAAGGAAGGTATTGCTTTGGGAGCCGAGCTTACTGAGTAGATCAAGCTTGTTCAACCCACGGCCCGAGGGCAGCATGTGGCCCAGGGCAGCTTTGAATGTGGCCCAAAGTAAAATTTCTTAAAACATCATGAGATATTTTTGGGATTTTTTTTTTAAGCTCATCAGCTATCATAAGTGTATTTTATGTGTAGCCCAAGACAATTCTTCTTCCAGTGTGGCCCAGGGAAACCAAAAGACTGGACCCTCCTGGAGCAGGGTTTTCACAGGACAGAGGAGAGACAGGCCAGCACTGGTCTCTCAGCTGAGCTCTGTCTCTCTCCATCACCTGTGATCTCACCCAGTCATTTCTCCACACGCACCAACAGTAAAACAGTAAGAATACCAACAAACTAATGATTATAGCAAAAATAACACAATCCATATACACTCTTCCTGCATGCCGAGGCTGACTTCCAGGACAAACATAAAATAAACAGATCAAGTTTTTTAAGCCTTGCGTCCATTATTAGTGCATTACAATCTTACTTTAAAATACTTCCCCCAACAGGCTAAAACCTATGTCCTTCAGAATACATAAACCTTCTTACAAATCGCTAAGACACTTATAAAAGGAGCAAGAGGAAGGGAAATCACGAATACCTGAAGTCGGGGAAGATTCAGCGTTGCCACGGCCACGCACTCTTTCTCCTGGGGCGGGGGCCAGTCCGCGGAGCCATCCATCCCCTCACTCACCTGCCGAAGCAGGAGATCCAGCTGCTCAAAAGTCACTGAGCAAATATCCACCCCAAAAGGGACATGGAGGCCAATGGACCACTCAGAACACGATGACCAAGCAATGCTCTAAGAGGAAACGCAACAATCGGAAATGAATCTCCAAATGCAGCTCTTGGTCTGTCGCACAGGAGTCACCAGCTTGTGTGATGGAGCTGCCTTATATTATTACCTATCATCCCTCTAACTGCCCAGTGGAAAAGCATTCATGGGTGTCTAGCTCACACACTATCAGCTTCCAATTCTCCCACCCATTTCACTAGCCCCATCTCACTTGGCCATACCTAAAAAAGTAAAAACATTTTAAAAAATCTTTTCACTCTCAAAATGATTAATGCACATTAATGGATGGCAGTGAGGCTCTCCATCCACTTGAAGTGGTATAATAGCAACTCTAACTAGACAATGAATTGTTAGACACATATAACACACACAATACCTTTCATAGTGAGAGAACAAGTAATCGGCAAAAATCTAGGAGAACTGTAGAACACCTTCAATAAACTGGATCTAATTTATAGAACACTTCACCCAACAACAGCAAAATACATATACTTTTTTTTTTTTTTTTTGAGACAGAGTCTCGCTCTGTCGCCCAGGCTAGAGTGCAGTGGCGGGATCTCAGCCCACTGCAAGCTCTGCCTCCTGGGTTCACGCCATTCTCCTACCTCAGCCTCCTGAGTAGCTGGGACTACAGGTGCTCACCACCACGCCTGGCTAATTATTATTATTTTTTTAATTTTTATTTTTAGTGGAGATGGGGTTTCACCATGTCAGCCAGGATGGTCTTGATCTCCTGACCTCGTGATCCACCTGCCTTGGCCTCCCAAAGTGCTGGGATTACAGGCGTGAGCCACCGTGCCCGGCCATACATACACTTTACATATACTTTTTTTAAATTTTATTTTTTTTGAGATGGAGTCTAGCTCTGTCGCCCAGGCTGGAGTGCAGTCGCACGATCTCAGTTCACTGCAAGCTCTGCTTCCCAGGCTCAAGCCAGTCTCCTGCCTCAGCCTCCCAAGTAGCTGGGACTACAGGCGCCCGCCATCATGCCCGGGTAATTTTTTTTGTATTTTTAGTAGAGACGGAGTTTCACCCTGTTAGCCAGGATGGTCTCGATCTCCTGACCTTGTGATCTGCCTGCCTTGGCCTCCCAAAGTGCTGGACCATACATATACTTTTTAAGCACATACAGACCATACATATACTTTTTACACATATATGTATACATATATGTATATACAGACCATACATATACAGACCATACATATACTTTTTAAGCACATACAGAATGTTCACTGAGAACATAACCTGACACATAAATCTTAACAAATTTAAAAGAAATGAAATCATATGCAGTTTGTTCTCCAATCACAATGGTATTAAACTAGAAATCATTAACAAAACAATCTGCAAACACTTCAAAATAAAACAACATACTTAATAATCCATGGGTCAGGCCGGGCGCACTGGCTCACGCGTGTAATCCCAACACTGTGGGAGGCCAAGTTGGGGGGATCACCTGAGGCCAGGAGTTGAAGATCAGCCTGGCCAACATGGAGAAACCCCATCTCTACTGAAAATACAAAACAATTAGCCGGGCATGGTGGCGGGTGCCCGTAGTCCCAGCTAATCAGGAGGCTGAGGCAGGAGAATCGCTTGAACCCAGGAGACAGAGGTTGCAGTGAGCCGAGATCATGTCATTGCACTCCAGCCTGGGCAACAACAGTGAAACTCCGTATTGAAGAAAAATAATAATAATAATAATCATCATCATCATCCATGGGTCAAAGAACAATTCTCAAAAGAAATTAGAAAATATTTTGAACATAAATGAAAATGCACCAAAATTTGTGGGTTTAATTAAAGCACTGCTTAGAGGAAAATTTATAGCATCAAATCATTATATATTACAAAAAAGATAGGTCTAAATCAGCAATCTAAGTTTCCACCTTAAGAAACCAGAAAAAGAGCAAAGTGAACGCAAAACAAGCCAAAGGAACAAATGCCAAGATAAAAGCAGAAACTAATGAGATTGAAAGCAAAAAAAGAAGGGAAAAATTAATGAAACTTAAAGATCATTCTTTGAAAAGATCAACAAAATTGAAAAACTCTAGGAAAACTGACAAAGAAAAAAACAGAAAAGATACAAATTATCAGTATCAGGAATGAATGAAGGGACATCACTGCAGGCCCCACAGACTTCAGACGGTTAGCAAGAGAACACTAAGGAAAACTTGACACTTAAAAATCAGACAACTTAGATGAAATAAAGCAATGTCCGAGTGCCACAAACCAGGAAAATCCTCCTAGAAACAAACAGGTTACCTGAATAGTTCTGTATCTGTTAAATAAATTGAATTTGTAAAAAATTTTTTTTTTTTTTTGAGCCGGAGTCTCACTCTGTCACCCAGGCTGGAGTGCATTGGTGCAATCTCAGCTCTCTGCAATCTCTGCCTCCTAGGTTCAAGTGATTCTCCTGCCTTAGCCTCCTGAGTAGCTGGGATTACAGGCGCACGCCACCAAGCTCGACTAATTTTTTGTATTTTTAGTAGAAACGGGGTTTCACCATGTTAGCCAGGCTGGTCTCAAACTCCTGACCTCAGGTGATCCACCTGCCTCAGCCTCCCAACGTGCTGGGATTATAGGCACGAGCCACCGTGCCCGGCGTAAAATCTTTTAGAAAGAAATCTCCAGGTTCAGATGGATTCAAAAACATTTAAAGAAGAAATAACACTAATTCTACACAATCCCTTAGAGAAAATGGAAAAGGAGGGAACACATGCCAATACTTTGTATAAGGTCAGCTTTCCCCTGACAGAAAGCCAGACGAGATAGTATAATACAAAGAAAGAAAACTGCAAACCAACATCCCTGATGAGCATCAACAGAAAAATCCTCAAAAACGTGTTAGCAAGTCAAATTTAGCAATATAGAAACAGAATAGGGCCGGGCGCAGTGGCTCACGCCTGTAATCATAGGAATATTGGGATGCCAAGGAGGGTGGATCACTTGAGGTCAGGAGTTGGAGACCAGGCTGGCCAACATGGTGAAACCCCATCTCTACTAAAAACAAACAACAAACAAACAAAATTAGCCAGGTGTGGTGGTGCACACCTCTAATCCCAGCTACTCAGGAAGCTGAGGCAGGAGAATTGCTTGAACCCAGGAGGCAGAGGTTGCAGAGAGCTGAGATTGCACCAATGCACTCCAGCCTGGGTGACAGAGTGAGATTCTGTCTCAAAAAAAAAAAAAAAAGAAAGAAAGAGAGTAGTAAATCGTGGCCAAGTGATGCCTATCCCAGTAACACAAGGCTTGGTCAGTATTTAAAAATCAGGCTGGTATAGTGTCTCACACCTGTAATCCCAGCACTTTGGGAGCTCACTGCAACCTCAAACTCTTAAGCTCAAGCAATCCTCCTGCCTCAGCCTCCTGAGTAGCTGAGACTACAGGTGCACACCAGCATGCCACGCTAATTTTTAATTTTTTTGTAGAGATGGGATCTCGCTGTGTTGCCCAAGCTGGTCTCTAACTCCTGGGCTCAAGTGACCCTCTCGCCTATGCCTCCCGAAGTGCTGGTGTGAGCTGTTGCACCCAGCCAAAATACGGCAGATTTGTAGTACCCCAGAAGGCTCCTTCCTGACCTACACTTTCCCACAAAGGAAACTACCCTTCTGACTTCAATCATCGTCAGTTCTGCCTTCCTGCGCTTCATCTAGGTGGGCTGGTACTGTGCACTGTCTCTCATACCTGGCTCCCTCTATTCACCCATGTCGTTGAGTGTTCCTACCACTTCATTTTTCTTTTTTGGCTGTGTAGTATTCCATGATGTGACTGTATCACCATTTATTCACTCTCCTGTTGATGGACATTTAGGTTGTTTTCATTTGGGGCTCTTATGAATAAAAATGGCAGTGAACATTCTTATATAAGTCTTTTTGTGGACATATGCACTCGTTTCTCTTGTGTACATGCTTAGGATGGAATTTCTGAAGGTAGGCATAGATATAGCTTTAGTAGAAGCTGCCAAACAGGTTTCCAATGTGCTTATACAATTTTATGCTACTGCCAGCTTGACAGTTCTTGTAGCTCTACATCTTTACCAATACTCTGTATAACACAGCATTTAACTTTAAATAGAGATAAAACGATGGTAAGATCCAAAGAAGTGTGCATGTTCCTGAAGAACATCCCGTAAAGGGCCTATTTTATTCATCTGTTTCGGGCACTGAAAACCACTGCATGGCTGGATGAGGAAGGAGGCCTGGTACAACTCCCAAGAAGGCATGTGTCCCTCGGGTGGGCTTTGTTTCCCAGAAACTCTGGGGAAGGGGTGGAGAGGCACCTTCTGGGCCAGCTGGTCTCCTCTGGCTTTTCTTGTACCCTAGGGCTCCCTCCAAAGAGACAGAGAACAGCCTGGCCGGGGAGCAGTATCTCCTACTGCGCTTGCTGTGAGCCAGCCACTCTGCCTTCTTTCAGGAATTACAAAATCCACAGGTCCCCGGCATTCTTATTTATGTATTTATTCATTTATGAGGCATGGTTTTCCTCAGCTCTGTTGGATGGGTCTCTGTGAAGGGAGCTTGGTGGGGGCGAGTGGCCGCTCCCTGGAGGAGGCAGGCCCCTGGTCAGGATCTTTGGGGCTCCAGGTCTCATAAGTGGGGGGCCAGGCTCCCTAGAGAAACCCTTCTTGGCTAGGGCTGGGGAGCCCACCAGAGTGACCCAATCAGTTCTCAGGGCCTGTGATGGGGCCAAGTGGTTTTGAGAAGCCAGTGTTCAGCTCCATCCTAAAGAGCACTCATGCACGTTGAGGAGGAGGGCCGGGGTGCACAGCTCTGACCTGAGTCAGACCCACCTCAGGACTTAGCCCAGCAGGAGGCCCAGAGTCACTGACCATAAAACGAGCAGATGCCTCCCCCGTGCTGATGGAGATGAGTCTTGGGCATCAACTCTAATAATTTCTAACTGCACCCAGAAATACTGATTCACACAGCAACTAGTGAATAATAGCCTTTTAGAGCTAAAAAAGCCTCATATATTATAAATTAACATATGCATTTTACACAAACTAGAGGCACCGTGGTGGGCCAGCAGCAGCCTGTTCAGGGGCCACAACAAGGGAGATTGGATTTCCTTAAGTGCAATGGGAGTTACTGGCAAGGCTTTAAGGTTTTAGCCACAGGAAAGATGAAAGTATTTTAGAGCAATGTGGGTGGATTCAAAGTGAGGTTTTGAACTAGATCAGTTTTTTTTTTTTTTTTTTTTAGACAGAGTCTGACTCTTATTGCCCAGGCTGGAGTGCAGTGGTGCTATCTTGGCTCACTGCAACCTCTGCCACCCAGGTTCAAGCAATTCTCCTGCCTCAGCCTCCTGAATAGCTGGGATTACAGGCACCTGCCACCAAGCCCGGCAAATTTTTGTATTTTTACGGGGTTTCACCATCTTGGCCAGGCAGTTCTTGAACTCCTGACCTCGTGATCCACCTGCCTTGGCATCCCAAAGTATTAATTTTTTTTTTTTTTTTTGAGACGAAGTCTTGCTGTGTCGCCCAGGCTGGAGTGCAGTGGCCCGATGTCGGCTCACTGCAAGCTCCGCCTCCCAGGTTCACGCCAGTCTCCTGACTCAGCCTCCCGAGTAGCTGGGACTACAGGCGCCCGCCACGATGCCCAGCTAATTTTTTGTATTTTTTTTAGTAGAGATGGGGTTTCACCGTGTTAGCCAGGGTGGTCTCAATCTCCTGACTTCCTGATCTGTCCGCCTTGGCCTCCCAAAGTGCTGGGATTACAGGGGTAAGCCACCACGCCCCTCCAAGTATTAAATTTTTTATTTAAAAAATCTCCCCTCTCCAAAGATCTCCCAGCATTTCTGCAGAGGTCTCTACCTAGGTAAGGAGAAGAAACTATTCTTGGCCGGGTACAGTGGCTCACGCCTGTAATACCAGCACTTTGGAAAGCCAAGGTTGGAGGATTCCTTGATCCCAGAAGTTCGAGACCAGCCTGGCCAACATGGTGAAACCCCATCTTTACCAAAAATACAAAAATTAGGTGGGTGTGGTGGAGTGTGCCTGTAGTCCCAGCTACTCAGGAGGCTGAGGTAGAAGGATCGCTTGGGCCTGGGACGTCAAGTCTGCAGTGAACCAAGGTGGTGCCACTGCACTCCAGCCTGGGTAACAGAGTGAGATCCTGTCTCAAAAAAAAAAAATTATTTGTGAGGGTGAAATTTAAATACCTTTGTGCATAGCTATCAGTTATTCTTTGTTTTAATATTTAGTTTATTGTGAAATATAACACATATAGAAACATACATAAAACAACACACAGGGCCAGGCCCGGTGGGTCACGCCTTGTAATCCCAGCACTTTGGGAGGCCGAGGCGGACGGATTACTTGAGGTGAGGAGTTTGAGACCAGCCTGGCCAACATGGTGAAACCCCATCTCTACTAAAAATACAAAAATTAGTCAGATGTGGTGGTGCATGCCTGTAATCCCAGCTACTTGGGAGGCTGAGGCAGGAGAATCGCTTGAGCCTGGGAGGCAGAAGTTACAGTGAACCAAGATCGTGCTACTGCACTCCAGCCTGGGCAACGGAGTCAGACTGTGTCTAAAAAAAAAGAAAAAAATAAAGGCTGGGTGTGGTGGCTCACGCCTGTAATCCCAGCACTTTGGGAGGCCGAGGCGGGCAGATCCCTTGAGGTCAGGAGTTCGAGACCAGCCTGACCAACATGGAGAAACCCCATCCCTACTAAAAGTACAAAATTAGCCGGGCATGGTGTTGCATGACTGAAATCCCAGCTACTTTGGAGGCTGAGGCAGGAGAATCGCTTGAATCTGGGAGGTAGAGGTTGTTTTGAGCTGAGATCACGCCATTGTACTCCAGCCTGGGCAACAAGAGCGAAACTCCGTCTCAAACAAACAAAAAACAAAACAAAAACAAAAAACACAGTGTAACATGTTATTATAAAGTCACTGCTCAGGGACCAACTTGGCCGCTCCTGTGCCTCTAGAGGGAAGCTCCTTCCCACTGTTCTTTAGAGTTTTATATGTTAAGTACAGGAGTCAACAAACTAGGCCTATGCACCACATCT
The DNA here is from genome assembly GCF_000001405.40 of Homo sapiens. Taxonomy (NCBI): domain Eukaryota; kingdom Metazoa; phylum Chordata; class Mammalia; order Primates; family Hominidae; genus Homo; species Homo sapiens. Next base: position 135,460 of record NT_187604.1, read on the forward strand.
GGCACCCAGCCTTTATTTATTTTTTGAGATGGCGTCTCACTCTGTCACCCTGGCTGCAGTGTGGTAGCACAATCTCGGCTCACTGCATCCTCCACCTCCCAGATTCAAGCAATTCTCCTGCCTCAGCCTCCTGAGTAGCTGGGATTACAGGTGTGTGCCACCACACCCGGCTAATTTTTATATTTTTGGTAGAGACGGGGTTTCACCATGTTGGTCAGTCTGGTCTCGAACTCCTGACGTCAGGTGATCTGCCTGCGTTGCCCTCTCAAAGTGCTGGGATTACAGGCATGAGGCATGATGCCTGACCCAGCCTTTTTTAAAATGAAGGTTTCGGCTGGCGCGGTGGCTCATGTCTGTAGTCCCAGCATTTTGGGAGGCCAAGGCAGGTGGATCACCTGAGGTCAGTAGTTGGAGACCACCCTGGCCAACATGGTGAAACCCCGTCTGTATCAAAATACAAAAATTAGCTGGGCGTGATGGCAGGCACATGTAATGCCAGCTACTCGGGAGCCTGAGGCACGACAATCACTTGAACCCGGGAGGCGGAGGTTGCAGTGAGCCAAGATCACACGATTGCACTCCCGCCTGGGCAACGAGCGAAACTCCATTTCAAAATACAATAATAAAAAAAAGGATGTCCTTTTTTGTCTCTCAACCCCGTTTTTTATTTTTTTTTATTTTCAGACAGGGTCTCGCTCTGTTGCCCAGGGTGGAGTGCAGGGGCCCGATCTTAGCTCACTGCGGCCTCAACTTCCCCAGCTCACATGATCCTCCCACCTCAGCCTCCCAAATAGCTGGGACCACAGGTGGGTACCACCATGCCCGCCTAATTTTTGTATTTTTTGTAGAGATGGGATTATGCCATGTTGCTCAGGCTGATCTCGAACTTCTGGGCTCAAGTGTCTCTCTGCCTCCACCTCCCAAAGTGCTGGGATTGCAGGCCTGAGCTACCATGCCCAGCCCTGCTTTAATTTAAAGTGTATTACATTTGATATTAGTACAGCCCCTTCAGCTCTTTTTTGGTTACTATTTTAATTGTATCTTTGTATCCCTTTACTTTCAATCTGTTTCTGTATTTAAAATGTTTATCTTGTAGATAGCACATTGGTGGATCATATTTTGTTCTTCAATCCTTTCAGCCAGTCTGCTTTTCTTTCTTTCTTTTTGAGACAGAGTTTTCCTTTTGTCACCCAGGCTGGAGCGCTATGGTGCGATCTCAGCTCACTGCAACCTCTGCCTCCTGGGTTCAAGCGATTCTCCAGCCTCAGCCTCCTGAGTAGCTGGGATTACAGGTGCGTGCCACCAGGCCTGACTAATTTTTGTATTTTTAGTAGAGACAGGGGTTTCTTCATGTCGGTCAGGCTGGTCTTGAACTCCTCACCTCAGGTGATCCACCGCCTCAGCCTCCCAAAGTGCAGGCATTACACGCGTAAACCACTGCGCCCGGCCAAAGTGGTGGATTTTTTTTCTCAGAAAATCTATTCCATTCTTTTTCCAGAAACCAAATTTGTACAAGTTAACTAAAATAAATATTTATACTCTAATTTTTTTGTTCTGAGGTCTGAGTTTTTAGAATTTTATCTTTACATGTTTAGAAAAATTAGAAAATATAGATAGAACATAACCAAGAAAATAATAACAACTTTCCTTCTGTTCAAAGTTCATTACTATTAGCCGAGTGCAGTGACTCACACCTGTAATCCTAGCACTTTGGGAGACTGAGGCGGGCGGATCACTTGAGCCCAGGAGTTCGAGACCAGCCTGGGCAACATGGCAAAATCCCGTCTACAAAAACTACAAAAATTAGCCAGGTGTGGTTCCATGTGCCTGCAGTCCCAGCTAGTGGCAAGGCTGAGGTGGAGAACCACCTGAACCCGGTAAGTCAAGGCTGCAGTGGTGCAGCCTCTGTCCCCCAGGCTGGAGTGCAGTGGTGCAATGTCGGCTCACTGCAACCTCCGCCTCCCGGGTTCAAGCGATTCTCCTGCCTCGGCCTCCCGAGTAGCTGGGATTACAGTCACGTGCCACCACACCTGGCTAATCTTTGTATTTTCAGTAGAGAAGGGGTCTCATCATGTTGGCCAGGCTGGTTTTGAACTCCTGACCTCAAATGATCCACCTGCTCTGGCCTCCCAAAGTGCTGGGATTACAGGCCTGAGCCACCACGCCCGGCCGTTATTTTTCTTTCTTAGAGGCAGGATCTCACTCTGTCGCCCAGGCTGGAGTGCAGTGGCACGATCTAAGCTCACTGTAGCATTGATCTCCCAGGCTCAGGCGATTCTCCTGTCTCAGCCTCCCGAGCAGCTGGGATCACAGGTGTGTGCCACCACACCTGGCTAATTGTTAAATTTTTTTATTTTTATTTTTTAGAGATGGGGTCTTGCTATGTTGCCCAGTCTGGCAACATGGGATCCTCCCGCTTCGGCCTCCCAAAGCGCTGAGAATTACATACGTGAGCCACCACGCCCGGCCTATATTGTTTTATAGTTCTTCAATTTTGTTTTGTGGTCGCTGGAGGTGTTTCCTTCTTCGATTCCCTGCACAGTGCTTCCACAGCTGCTCCATGGAATCTGCCCAAGACTTTTGCTGCGTTCAGTTGAACACACAGGAGGAAGCTCTTCAGGCCCCAGCCAGCCGACCGCACAAAGATGCGTTCTCATACCCAGGGGAGCTGGTCTCGCCACTCGACCGGCGCCCTGGATAGCTATAGTTAGTGTGAGCGCCACCACCCGCCGCGGCGTGATCAAGAGCGCTCCGGGCCAAGCAGTCTCCCGTGGGAGTGCGGGAGTGCGTGCGTGCGGCGGAAATCCCGCCTTCCGGCGCCCGCTGTTGGCCTTGGCCGCAGCCAGGGCGCTCCAAGTAGGAAGATAAGCGGGATTGCTGGAAGCGGGAGAGTCGGGAGGAGCGGCGAAGGGCTCCTCTTCCCCATTGGCTGCGCCCACGGAGCAGCCTCGTTGCGATTGGCCGTACGCGGGGGGCGGCAGTCCCGCGTCGGCCCGCCCCTCGGGCCGCGAGAGGCGCCGGGATCGCGGGCGCCGGCTGAGCCAGCGGCTCTTGGGAGGCTGCGTCCGCGCGCCGGCGGGGCGAGGCGGCCGGGCCCTGCGCGTCAGGTCCTGGCCTGGGGCACCTGGGCGGCCGGTGGCGGGGGCGGTACGGGCGCGGGGCTGGCGGGCGGCCGAGCCCGGGAGGCGGGCGTGGGCGCGGCGGCCGCACCGGGGCCTGCGCGGACCACCCGCGGGGCAGCCTCGGGCCTCTCTCCATCTCTTAAGTGGTGGTGGCTGTGGGTTTTTCTGCAGGCGATCCTTTTGAGTAATTTGTTTCACGCACGCGCCCTGCTGTGGGGTAAAGCGGCAGATTCATGCTGCTGTCATTTGTCGTTAAAACGATGGGCTCCCTGTTATGTGTGTGTACTTCTTGGATTTGAGGGCAGGGGGATGACATTGTAACTTGGCTTCCTGTGACCGTCCATTCTCAAGGTCTCGTCAGCGTGGTGCAGAAACTCGGCACACCCTGCCTACCTTGGAAGGAGGCTTTCCCTTCCCCACCTCCCTCTCTCTCCATCTCTTCCCTCTTTCCCTCTCTCCCCTTCTCTCCCCTCCACCAGCTCTTCTCTCCCCCCTTTCTGTTCTCTCTCTCTTTTTTCTTTTCTGCATTGAACCTTTCGGGAGTGTCTTTGTAAACTATTAAAAAGCATTAGGTCTTCAGCGTATGTGTTTACTTGCAGGCCTGAGACCTGGGAGGAAGCTGGAGAAAAGATGCCCTCTGAATCTTTGTGTTTGGCTGCCCAGGCTCGCCTCGACTCCAAATGGTTGAAAACAGATATACAGGTGGGGTTTGACATGTCTTTTTCTTGGTGTGTTTCTGCTTCCATGTTTAAATTTCTCGTGTAAGGCTTTTTTTTAGGGTATGTAAGGGGAAGTCAGTTGTATCTTGCTGAATTAGAGGAGCAGGTTTATTTCCTGTAACTTAAAATGTAACAGTCTTATGGCTGTTTTTGTAGATCGTGCGCGGCTGCCTTTTAATTAGTTTCTTGCAAGTGCACGAAACTTGAGATCTATTAATAGAGAAAATTTTTTTCCTATTTATTATTACTGGTTAAGAAATCTGCCACACTCCTAACCATATCATGGTGACTGTTGTTTGTTACTGATCGTTTTTGAGCTGTTGAGTTAACTGTGGAGGGGAAAATTGGAGAAGTAAGTTGCAGTAATTATGGCCTATAGAAACTCACTCATTTTATGAGGTCTTGTGTTTGTGTTTCTGGAGAGACAAGAGTTAGTTCAGTTGAGCTGTTTGTTTTGTCTTTGTAACTCCTTATTAAGAGGAGTGCTCAGATTTTCACATCAAGAATATGAGGAAACAATGTTGGCCTTAGATCCTAATTTTTTGATTTAATGAGATAATTGCAAGCTTGTCAGGACATTATTAAATAAATAATAACGGTAATATTTCGATAGACAGTTCTTTACACCCAATCTACTTTTATTTGGAAATGGCTTGGAAAAACTACTTTTGGAACTCCTTATCAGCAGCAAAAAGAAGTGTTTGAAATATTTTGTGTGTGTCTGTATTTTCCTACTCCCTAAGGTTAACCATTTTAAGTATTAAGTAATGTGCCTTGACTGTTCATCAAAAGTCGTGTAGGCTGTTAAGCAGTAGTTGATCATGGATACTTACACTGAAGTGTTATTGCCCCTTCCTAATTTTTTTTTTCTTTTTAAACAGGTATTGAGTGTTGGTAGATATGAGAGTCCAGTGTTTAGAGCTGTGTTGTGTGGCTGGGCGCAGTGGCTCACGCCTGTAATCCCGGCAGTTTGGGAGGCCGAGGCGGGTGGATGCCCTGAGGTCAGGAGTTGGGAGACCAGCCTGACCAACATGGTGAAACCCCGTCTCTACTAAAAATACAAAATTAGCCAGGCGTGGTGGTGTATGCCTGTAATCCCAGCCACTCGGGAGGCTGAGGCAGGAGAATCGCTTGAACCCGGGAGGTGGAGGTTGCAGTGGGTCAAGATTGTGCCGTTGCACTCCAGCCTGGACAATGAGAGCTTTTTTTTCAAAAAAAAAAAAAAAAGCTGTTGTGGATGATGGGATTGTTATTCATAGTGTAATGTTACATAAGACAGAGTACAGAGAATTGGGTCAAGAATTGGTGTAGTTACTCTTTGGGTTTGTTTCTCTTTAAACATTTCCTTTGATTTAGCTATAATGATCTGTTTTGTCATTTTAAGTGGATGGGAGACGTGAGAGATGAGTACTTTCATATTTCTGAAATCCTGAGATTCAGGCAAAGTTTTAATAGTTGTTTTTATATTAGTGTTTATGTATTTTGAGAAACTTTTTGGAGTAAAGGACTTTACGTAATGAAGTTTTTTTCTTAATAATTGTAATTTAATAACTGCTAAACATGAGTTCTAGTGTCTTGATCTAAAACCAGTTTAATGCTGAATTGAGTTCCTATGATGGGTTGGGCAGATAAACATACAGTGAAGCACCATTTATATCTTAGAGGGCCTGTTGTTTTGATTTATTAAGTTTAATACACAGTACTTGGTCCTTGTTACACATTTCCAATATGATTAGAAAGTCTTTTTTTTGAGACGCAGTCTTGCTCTGTCGCCCAGGCTGGCGTGCAGTGGCGCAATCTTGGCTCACTGCAACTTCCGCCTCCCGAATGCAAGTGATTCTCCCACCTCAGCCTTCCGAGTAGCTGGGATTACAAGTGTGTGCCACCATGCATGCCCGACTAATTTTTGTATTTTTAGTAGAGATGGGGTTTCACTGTGTTGGCCTGGCTGGTCTCCTGACCTCAAAGCGATCTGCCTGCCTCGGCCTCCCAAATTGCTGGGATTACAGGCGTGAGCCACTGCACCTGGCCAAAAAAAAAAGTCATCTAAATTCCTCCTAGGAGTAAGGGAAACGACTAGGTTTTGGATAGTGTGCACCAGAGGAAAAATGTGTTACAGGTCTAAGTAGCATGAAAAAAGTGATTGCTAAGTTTTGTTTTATGTTCCACCAGCATTGGTTGTTAAACACAAGGAATGAATGGTGGTGTTTTACCGTAAGGAATAAGACATGGTTTCCCTCTTTGGGGAGCTTCCCTGCAGACAGGAATTGCAGATGGAAGCCTTGTGCTCACAGGTTTTACCCTTATCTTGTTGAGGATGGCTCTCCCAGCTGGAGTGGGAAGCGCTTCACTGCTTGAGACTTTTGTATTGGAAACAGAATTGACACCTGGGTAATGAATAATACATGGGATAGGAAGATGTTTCTTAGCCATAGGATTTAACCGATCTGTTTTCCACAGCTGTTTTTGTTCGAAATGCCCTTAAAAGTTTTAGTAACTTTAGAAAGGAAGAGTTTTTGGAGTGTGAAAACTTATAATGCTTGTGTGTTATAGAGAGCACTTATTGACTTCTTTATCATAGACATTATTTGGATACGTCAGGCCTAGGACCCTACATCCAGCAACCTCTAATGCAGGGCTCATTTTATGCCAGGCATATATATCTGGTTATTACATATAAACAGTTTAATTGTTCAACACTTTTTTTTTTTTTTTTTGAGACGGAGTCTCACTCTGTCTCCCAGGCTGGAGTGCAGTGGTGCCATCTTGGCTCACTGCAAGCCTCCTGGGTTCATGCCATTCTCCTGCCTCAGCCTCCCGAGTAGCTGGGACTACGGGTGTCCACCACCACGCCTGGCTAATTTTGTGTACTTTTAGTAGAGACAGGGTTCCACCATGTGGGCCAGGCTGGTTTTGAACTCCTGACCTCAAGTGATCCACCCGCCTCGGCCTCCCAAAGTGCTGGGATTACAGGCGTGAGCCACCGCGCCCGGCCTGTTCAACACTCTTTTCTGCTTGATGTGTGGAGTGATTGAATCACCATGTTTTCCTTCACTGCTCTCGTGAAGAGTAATACATTACAGAGGTAAGAGGTGTCAGTCACATCACTTTTTATTTTTACCGTGAAAGTACTTCTAATCTGATGTGATTGGTAGTTTTTTAGCAAACCAAAAAGTCAGTTAAGCAAAGGAATCATAAAAACCAATATATGAGACCTTAAAAGCTTTTTATTCTTAAAACACATGCCTGTTCGCCAGTTTTGTTGTAAGGTAAAGGTGCATGTCTTTGAGCATAGGTCCAGAATGGAGTTATCCTGCCCCTTCTTGCATAAGCTGCACTCAGATGAATTTCCTACAGTTTCTATTTTTGGGTTCTTTTTTAAGTGGCACATGAAACTAGATATGCATGAAGCAATTTTTAAAAAAACTTTTTATTTTGAAATAATAATAGACTCTCAGGAAGTTGTAAAGAAACTAGAGAGGTCATTGTATATTTGCGCATACTGCCCCAGTGGTTACATTTTATGTAACCATAATAGAGTATAAAAACCCAGAAATTGAAGTTGGTACAATGTGTGTGCGTAGTTCTGTGCCATTCTATCAAGTGTCTGTAAATATAACTACTACTACAATTTCCTATGCAGAACTGTTTCATCACCAGAAAGATCTCTCTCCTGCCTCTCTTCTGCCACCATCTCTAACTCCTGCCAACCACTGATCTGTTCTCCATCTCTATAATTTTGTTACTGTGAGATTACCAAGTGATATGTGACCTTCGGAAATGATTTTCTTTACTCAGCATAATGCCCTCAGGTCCGTCAAGGTTTGTTGAGTATATCAGTAGCTAAACTGGGACCATTTATTTGTCTCTTCATCTAATCATCAATTAAAAATGACCACGCATAAATGTAAGCTTTTACAGTTAAACTTATTGTATATAAATATTGTCACTTCGGCTGGGCGCGGTGGCTCACGCCTGTAATCACAGCACTTTGGGAGGCCGAGGAGGGCGGATCACTTGAGGTCAGGAGTTCAAAACCAACCTGGCCCCCATGGTGAAACCCTGTCTCTACTAAAAATACAAATGAGCCAGGTGTGGTGGTGTGCGCTTGTAATCCCAGCTACTTGGGAGGTTGAGGCAGGAGAACTGCTTGAACCCAGAAGGTGGAGGTTGCAGTGAGCCGAGATCATGCCATTGCACTCCAGCCTGGCCAACACAGCAAGACTCCTTCTCAAAAAAAAAAAATGTCACTTCATGCTTAGAAATATCAGTAGATGGCCGGGTGTGGTGGCTTAGCCTGTAATCCTAACAGTTTGGGAGGCTGAGGTCAGGAGATCGAGGTCATCCTGGCCAACATGGTGAAACCCCATCTCTACTAAAAATACAAAAATTAGCTGGGTGTGGTGGCACGTGCCTGTAGTCCCAGCTACTTAGGAGGCTGAGGCAGGAGAATCGCTTGAACCCAGGTGGCGGAGGTTGTAGTGAGCTGAGATCGCGCCACTGCACTACAGCCTGGTGAGAGAGCGAGAATCTGTCTCAAAAAAAATAAAAAAGGGCAGTAGATAAAAAAAGTACAAACATGAGTATCTTGATAAATTCTATTCTCAGGCTTTCAGGTTCATAATCCTGTTGATAGATGACATGTAGAAATAGAAGAATTTGTAAATATAGGAATATTCATTGATGTTTTTAGGACTGGATTCTAAGGGTGGTTTTTACCTCTAATATCCAAATACTGCTGCCTCAAGAGAACAATTTTTGTTTTCAAAATTCCATGATAAAAAAGATGCAGTAACCCTGTATGTGGCATTTTGTCAGGTTAATTAAGAGCATTTTGCAGCAAAAAAAAAAGTTTTTTGTAGAGGCAGGGTCTTGCTTTGTTGTCCAGGCTGGTCTAGAACTTCTGCATTCAAGTGATCCTCCTGCCTTGGCCTCCCAAAGTGCTGTGATTAGATGTGTGAGCCACTGTGCCTGGCCTGGTGTTTTAAAGAACTAACTTTTAACTTTGGTTCTTGGAAAAGACTAGCAATACTTGTTATAAAAAAAAGGAAAAGGGTTTAGCCGTAGGACTTTGATGACAATTCCTTTTTTTTTTTTTTTTTTTTTGAGACAGAGTCTCACTCTGTTGCCCAGGTTGGAGTACAGTGGCACTATCTCAGCTCACTGCAACCTCCACTCCCAGGTTCAAGCCATTCTCGTGCCTCAGCCTCCTAAGTGGCTGGAATTACAAGTGTGCACCACCACACCCAGATAATTTTTTATATTTTTAGTAGAGATGGGGTTTCACCATGTTGCCCAGGCTGGTCTTGAACTCCTGAGCTCAGGCAGTCCACCTGCCTTGGCCTCCCAGAGTGGTGGGATTACAGCAGTGAGCCACTGAGCCCAGCAGATGACAATTCTTTATGAAGAAGAAATTGAGTATCCTGTTTAAGGCACTCAAGAAAAGAAAATGTGAGTAAAGCATTTTTTGTTCCAGCAAAACCGACTTTTCAGATGAAAAACACACAAACTTCTCAGTGAGCTGTAACTTAGGAAGTATTGTTCTCATGAGCCCTTCCTTAGGAATGGAGTGGAGAAAGATCTTTAGACAACTGGATGACTGTAGATCAACCTGCAACTGATGATGGGCATGAAACAGTTATTTGTTAAACCTAGACTGCATGAGTGTTAAGGGAGAGAGCATGGCATAGCCATGTGCTTAGACATTGTAGATTATGGTTGTAACTGTTATGCAGTTCTGTTAATCTCATCCATCCATTTTGTATTTTCATTTCTAGAGATTCCATTTGAGTCCTTTTTATATCTTCTGTTTCACTCCTTATAACATTCATGCTTTCCTTCTATTAGTATAGGGAGCATTTCTGTAAGAGAGCTTTTAATGTCCTTGTCTGTGAATTCTGTAATCTCTGATCACTTCTAGATCCATCTCTGTTGATTGATTCTGTCATTTCTATTGATTGATTGCCCTAGTTATGGGGGCATGGTTGTATGCCTGCTAATTTTTGATTGAATGCTAGGCATTAATTTTATCTTCTGTGCAGGATTTTGTTTTATTTTTTTAAAGAGCCTTAGTTTTCTTCTGCCATACATGTAAGTTACATGGGGTCAGTTTGATCTTTTCAAAGCTTGATTCTGAGGTTTGTTAGGCTGATCCACACAGGCTTTACTCTTGGGCTCATTTATCCATACAACGAAGGCAATACTGTTCTCAGGACTCCACCTGATGCTTGGTGTATGAGAAGATCTTTCTTTCCTTGTTTGTGGAAACACAGGCTTTTCCCAGACTATGCATCATGGCAGTGCTGCTTATTACTTTCTAGTGCTGCTTTCCCCAGTATTCCATAGTTTTCTTAACCTATGCTCAGAGTAGTACTCAGACAGATACTCAAGGGGCCCCTCCACTCATCTCTGGAGCTTGCTGTATTCTTGTCATTTGGCCTACGTATAGCTGATCTGTCTCCTGAGCTCAGCAAGTTCTTTGGGCTCTATTTGGGTTCCCCTTTCCTGTGCTGCAGCCTGGAAGCTGCTTCTGGGCAGTGTTTCCCTTCTCTCAGGCATCCCAGCTCTGGGCTGTCTGTTGTCCAGTTTTTGGTAACAGCTTTTCGGTATATTCTGTCTGGTTTTCTAGTTGATTATAGCAAGGAAGTGATTTCTACAGAATTCATCCTTTATAGGTGGAGGAAGCACAGGCCTTCCCAATCTGTTTTTAATCAAATCCATTGAGTTTTAAATTTTACTATTATATTTTTCTATTCCAGAATTTCCATTTTTTAAACATATCAACTTTATTGAGGTATAATTATATTAAACACATCCCTTTAAAATGTTTAGTTTGAAATGTTTGACAGTTTCTTTAACTGCCACTTTAGGTATTTTTTTCTAGTTTCAACTTCTGTGTTGAAATTGTTAATGTGATCTTTTTTTTTTTTTTTTTTTTTTGACAAGGAGTCTCGCTCTGTCGCTCAGGCTGTAGTGCAGTGGCACAATCTCGGCTCACTGCAACCTCCATCTCCTGGGTTCAAGTGATTCTCCTGCCTCAGCCTCCCGAGTAGCTGGGACTGCAGGTGCCCGCCACCACACCTGGCTAATTTTTGTATTTTTAATAGAGATGGGGGTTCACCAGATTGGCCAGGCTGGTCTTGAACTCGTGACCTCGTGATCCGCCTGCCTTGGCCTCCCAAAGTGCTGGGATTACAAGCATGAACCGTGCCCGGCTGTTAATAGGATCTTTTAATTGCTTGACTCTATTAAAGGTAGTTATTTTAAAAGTGTGTTTATAAACCTTGTCCGACCCCATAGATTCCTTAGCCGCCTCTCTCTGTCCCTCTTGGCTGACTCATGCCTGTGAGCCGCCCTTCGGCTCCAGTCTCCGCTGTGATGTCACGCAAGAGAGTTGGAGTATGGCTTCCTGACTGCCTACCAAGGAGCCAGTGACACAGCCTGGAAGGTGTGGCGAGTGTGTGTGGGTGTGAATTCCTTGTGGTATGAACGTTCACCACTTTACAAGGAGAGATGAGGGAACTCAGTGTTTTTATTCCTCCCTTTTTTCTTTCCTCTTTGGACTATTTTATGGTGTAGTTTCTTCTTGCAAACCTTCTGGAAAAGCCACATATGCCTAGTGAATGTGCTGGCTGAACAGTTGGTTGTATTTGCAGCTCATTGAGAAGAGGTGGCACTAACATAGGGGTCAGCACATTTTTTCTGTAAAGCACCAGATAGTAAATGTTTATGTGGGCCGTACGTGCTCTTTTAGAACAGCTCACCTTGGCCATTGTCCTGCGAGAAGCTGCCAAACATGTGTATGGCTATATTCCAGGAAAACTTCGTGGATACCAGAATTTGAATGTCATATAATTTTCATTTGTTGACATATGATTTTTTTTTTTTTTTTTTCTGAGAGGGAGTCTTGCTCTGTTGCCCAGGCTGGAGTGCAGTGGCGCGATCTTGGCTCACTGCAACCTCCACCTCCTGGGTTTAAGCAATTGTTCTGCCTCAGACTCTGGAGTAGCTGGGATTACAGGCGTGTACCATCATGCCTCACTAATTTTTTTTTTTGTATTTTTAGTAGAGATGGGGTTTCATCATGTTGGCCAGGCTGGTCGTGAACTCCTTACCTCGTGATCCGCCTGCCTTGGCCTCCCAAAGTCTGAGATGACAGGTGTGAGCCACCGTGCTTGGCTGACATATGATTCTTTTGATTATGTTGCAACCATTGAAAAATATAAAATCACTCTTTTTTAATATATATTTTTCTTTTTTTAGGAAATTAAAGGAAATAAGAATGGCTCCTACATAGGCAGAGTAGGCTAAAATCACACTTAGCTGACTGTGAAGTCATATACTGCATATCGTTACTTCATTGATCTCCTTGTCTCGCTTTCCCACTTCCCTCACCCCATTGCCCCGAGCTGACATCTGCTGAGCAGAGTGTCAACACTTCAGTTCATTCCTCAGGCTCTTCTTTCATGACAGAAGTCTTTATGTTTCTGTTTTCAGGATCTACTCAGTCTGTTCTAATGACTTCTATTTTTTTTTCATTTTTCAATGATGTGGTCTTGTATCTTTGTCATTATTATATTTGCTTGACTTTCAGATATTGTATATGCAATATTGTAGCAATAAATCGAGGCTCTAGGTAACAATATCTTCCTCCAGAGAGGATGTTCTAGGCAATCCCAGGTCACTGCAGTCCCTTTGGAAATTGAGAGAATGCGAAACTGGGCTGGTTTTCCGTGAAGGCTGGTCTACTTCTAACTCACCTGTATTTCTGGTGTGTGGCCCTTTGAGGTTCCAGCTCAGAGCATGGGATCTGCCAGGCCTCTTTCTCCTGTATGAGGGCCCTGGGAGTCTCTCAGAAGCTCCGTTTTGCTTCTCAGTCTCATCCCTGCGTGCTTAGGTTCTCTGGGCCTCTTTCTTCCTCTCGTGGGTCTTAGACTTTAGGAAGACCTCACTCCCTTGCTGCTTCTAGGATGTCTTCAAATCGACGTACTTAATGTTCCTGTCTGACCTTTCTAATTGTTCTAGGAACCTGTTCTTAACATTTTTTCATATGTTGTCCTACGTTCAGTAGGTGTTTAGTATTTTTCTGTAGGTTTAAGAAAAAAAGCCATATACCTTTACTCATCTGCAAATATTTGAAGATTACTTTTCTGTCAAATTGTAAGGACATGAAAAAGAAACATTTTCTAACCTATACATTAATCAGATATTCATTTGTTATATTATTCAGTTTTGGATTTTATTGCCTGACTCTATAGTTCTGAAGTCACTTTAATAAATGCCTTAACGGGCTGGGTGCGGTGGCTCCCGCCTGTAATCCCAGGCCGAGGCGGGTGGATCACAAGGTCAGGAGATCGAGACCATCCAGGCTAACACGGTGAAACCCTGTCTCTACTAAAAATACACAAAAAATTAGCTGGGCGTGGTGGCGTGCGCCTGTAGTCCCAGCTACTCGGGAGGCTGAGGCAGGAGAATGGCATGAACCCGGGGAGCCAAGATGGCGCCACTGCACTCGAGCCTGGGCGACAGAGCAAGACTCTGTCTCAAAAAAAAAAAAAAAAAAAAAATGCCTTAACTGTTTGCTTGCCTAGTCCTGATTGGTATTAAAATATTGGTGGCCTATGTATGGGAGCGTGAAGGCTTGCCCTGGCTGCCGTGCTGCAGGTGTGGGTGCATGTTATGGTGTTGGTGGGAAGCGAATAAGCCTTGGAGTTGGGCCTCTTCCCAAATCCCGCCTCTCACAGCCTCAGTGTTGTGTGGCCTTTGGTCAAGTCATTGGCCTTCTGAGCTTCAGTTTAGTAACTTACAAAAAGTGAGCCTGTTACTGCCTCTTTTGCTGGGGTCTTTTGACGATGAAAGTGCCTTTACTTGCCATGTCATTTCAGAGGTGTAAGATAGGAATGTGAGATTGGAAAAGATTGGAAAAGAGTTCTTAGCCCAAATAACCTAATTAGAAGCTTCTGGGATCTGAACCAAAAAAGTCAAAAGTTGAAAAGCTACTGGGCACGTTTAGGTAAGTCAGCTACTAATAAAAAGCTAATTGGAGACAGTTGTAGAAATAAATACTCTCACTTTACAAATGGAAAGTCCCATTCATTTTTTTCTTTTTCTTTCTTTTTTTTTTTTTAAATGAATAGGGTCTCTGTCACCCAGGTTGGAATGCTGTGGTGTGATCAGAGCTTACTGTAACCTCAAACTCCTGGGTGCAGGTGACCGTCCTGCTGTAGCCTCCTGAGTAGCTGGGATTACAGGCACGTGCCATGCACTTGGGTAATTTTTACATTTCTGTAGAGACACGGTCTTACCATGTTGCCCAGGCTGATCTTGAAATCTTGGCCTCAAGCAGTTCTTCTGTCTTGGCCTCCCAAAGCTCTGGGATTACGGCGTGGGCCACCACGCCCTGCCTGTAGTCTCCATTCTTCTCAGTGCCACGGCTGTCTTCCAGTTGTTCCCAGGCTGCTGCTTCCTCAGTCAGGATCCTGTACTGTTTGTGATCTGGAGAGCTCTTCTCCTGGGCTTCACTTTTGCTTGTTCAGAGTCTAACTCTCTGGAGACCTCCTCCAGTGAGGCTTGCTTTATTGCCTTAGTAATGTTCCACCTTTAAGGTGCCCAAATAGTTTTTTGAATGGTGCTTACCATTTATTTGGGTCATCAGTTCCTAGGAGGCTTCCACAGTGCATGTCCTTCCAGGAGTCCAGTGTCTACCTTCCAAAAAAGAATTCCTTGTTACTCAGAAGGACAAGGTCTGGCCTATCCTCTTCCTTCCCAGTGCTACCCAGGTAATAATCGAAAGGTGGTGGTAATTATTCTTGTTTCCATGTAAACTGGGCTTCCTCCTTGGCTTAGTCTTTAAATGTTCCATCTTTTGGCTTTTTTTTTTAAAATGGTACCTCTGTAACACTAATGTTTCTCAATCTAGGCTGTACCGCAGAACACTGATGTGTGGAGCCCAGCCAGTCTGGGGCGATCTTAGAGTGCTTTCAGGGCTGGGCAGGGGTCTCCCCTCTCTGCTTGGGTGTTGGCATCTTCTCCAGGACATCACCTACAGTCCATTTGTTGACTACTCCCAGATTTGAGTCTCTAGCCCTGAACACTCTGCTAAGATCTGGATCTATATTTACTGAGGGTTGGTGGAGTGGGGAGGAGCTCCATGTTTATGTTCAGTAGTTAGTGCAAATCTTAGTGGTTAAAACGGAACTAATTCTCATTCCTCTTCTGTTCCCTCCCTTATTTTCCCTTTCACATTTGATTTAACTTACGTGATTTGAAATAGTTTCTTTTTTTGTTTTTTAAGTCAGGGTCTCACTCTGTTGCCCAGGCTGGAATGCAGTGGCACCGTCACGGCTCACTGCAGCCTTAACCTCCCCGGGCTCAGGTGATCCTCCCACCTCAGCCCCCTGAGTAGTGGGACTACAGGTGCGTACCACCACGCCTGGTTAATTTTTGTATTTTTTGTAGAGACCGGGTTTCACCATGTTGCTCTGGCTGGTCTCGAACTCCTGGGCTCAAGCAGTCTGCCCACCTTGGCCTCCCAAACTGCTGGGATTACAAATGTGAGCCACCGTGCCCTGCCTGAAATAATCTTAAAGACTGTACTTCCCTGTGTTGACTTCTGCTGTCATCCTTTCTTTTTTGGACCCTTGGTAATAGCCTTTTTTTTTTTTTTTTTTTTTTTTTTTGAGATGCAGTCCCACTCTGTCACCCAGGCTGGAGTGCAGTGGTGCGATCTCCACTCACTGCGACGTCCGCCTCCCAGGTTCAAGCAATTCCCTTGCCTCAGCCTCCCGAGTAGCTGGGACTATAGGTGCGTTGCCACCACATCTGGCTAATTTTTTGTATTTTTAGTAGAGATGGGGTTTCGCTGTGTTAGCCAGGATGGTCTTTATCTCCTGACTTCATGATCCACCCGCTTCGGCCTCCCAAAGTGCTGGGATTACAGGCGTCAGCCACCGTGCCTGGCCAGTAATAGCTTCTTAGTTCACCTTCTCTGTTTCTGTTTTCTGAAACACTTTAAGACACGGGTCAAATGTCGTATTCCCTTGAGTGCCTAAAGATAGTCTGAAACTCCTGGAGCACGGCCCACATGGAGCTGTGAGTTCTGACCACTGTTAGCCTCTTATCATGTGCATTGTGGTAGGGTTTGGACTGAACCCCAGTGCACGTATTCACTGCTCTCCTCTGACTGAAGACTAGAAGAGTCAAAGCTTTCCATTCACTCGTTAAACTTCAGGGGCCCTGAATGTTTTTGGCTCACTTTTTAATTTTATTTTTTATATTATTTTAATTTTTTAAATTTAAATTAAAAATTTTTTTTGACAGGGTCTTGCTCTGTTGCCCAGGCTGGAGTACAGTGGAGTGATCTCAACTCACTGCAGCCTCTACCTCCTGGTCTCAAGCAGTTCTCCCACCTCAGCCTCCCAAGTAGCTGGGAGTACAGGCGCGCCACCACCTCTGGCTAATTTTTTGTATTTTTGGTAGAAATGCGGTTTTGCCATGTTGTTCAGGCTGGTCTTGTACTCCTGAGCTCAAACAATTCACCCGCCGTGGCCTCCCAAGTGCTGGGATTACAGGTGTGAGCCACCATGCCCAGCTTTCTGGCCAATTTTACAATTTTTTTGTAGAGACAGGGTCTTGCTATGTTGCTTAGATTGGTTTTGAACTCCTGGGCACAAGTGATTCTCTTGCCTCAGTCTTCCAAGGTGCTGGGATTAGAGATGTGAGTCACTCTATCTGGCCAGGGCTCACTTTTTAGGAAGGAGTTTACCTCTCCCCCACCAGCTGATATTTTTACCAAAAGTCATATGTTTTGGTTCCAAGTATGTTTATGGCAGTTATCCTGTTAGTGATGTGAACAGAAAAAATAACAGTGCTGAGGGAAAGCTGTTCCTTCTACAAAAACTGAAGGATGCTGGCTTGGTTTCTGTCGCTACAGAACAAGTTACCAAACACAAATTTGGCAGCTTGTAACAACAAGCATTTACACTCTCACAGTTTCTGTGGGTCAGGAGTCTGGCCATAGCTTAGTTCTATCCTCTACTTCAGGTGTCACAGGCTGTAGTCAAGGTGTTGGCTAGGGCACGCTGTCATCTGGAGCTCAGGTCCTCATTGGTAGAATTGAATCCATTGTGGTTGTGGGACTGAAACCCTGGGCTCTTGGAGGCTGCCCCTCCCCACAGGCAGTTCATTGGCTGCTTGCTTCTTCAGATTGGAGACCATCTCTTCAGGACAGTGCAGAGGGATGGAAAAAGGGAGAGGCAAATGGAAATCACAAAAGAGCATAGCGGTTATATCAGACCAAATAGATTTCAAGACCAAAACTATAAAAGGAGACCAAAAAAGTCATTATGTAATGATAAAGGGGCCAATTCAGCAAGAGGCTATAACTATTATAAATATATGTATATATGCACTCAACACTAGAGCACCCAGATACATAAAACAAATATTACAGCTAAAGAGAGAGAGAGGCGTTAATACATTAATAGATGGAGGCTTCAACACTCCACTTCAGCATTGGACAGATCAGATCATCCAGACAAAATTAACGAAGAAACATCAAACTTAATCTGCACTGTAGACCAAATGGATTTAATAGATATTTCTAGAACATTTCATCTGATGGCTGCAGAATTTACATTGTTCTCTTTAGCACATGGATCGTCCTCAAGGTTAGACCATATGTTAGGCCACAAAATAAGTCATTAAAAATTGAAACCTTGATACTAAAAGCAGACAAAGACACGTCAAAGAAAGAATACTACAGGCCAATGTCTCTGATGAATATTGATGCAAATATCCTCAACAAAATACTAGCAAACCAAATTCAGCAATACGTTAGAAAGATCGTTCATTGTGATGAAGTGGGGTTTATCCCTGGGGTACAAGGATGGTTCAACATATGCAAATCAATCGATGTGACACATCATGTCAACAGAAGGATAAAAACCATGTGATTATTTCAGTCGATGCTGAAAAGGCATTTGATAAAATTCAACATCCTTTCATGATAAAATCTCTTAAAACTGATTATGGAAGAAACATACCTCAACATAATAAAAGCCGTATATGACAGACCCACAGCTAGTATCATACTGAATGGTGAAAAACTGAAAGTCTTTCCTCTAAGATCTGGAACATGACAAGGATGCTCAGTGTGGCCACCGTTATTCAACATAGTACTGGAAGTTCTTGCTAGAGCAATCAGACAAGAGAAAGAAATAAAAGGCCTCCACATTGGAAAGGAAGAAGTCAAATTATCCTTGTTTGCAGATGATATGATCTTATATGTGGAAAAACCTAAAGACTCCACAAGAAAATGATTAGAGCTGATAAATTCAGTACAGTTGCAGTATACGAAATCAACATACAAAAATCAGTAGCATTTCTGTGTGCCAACAGTAAACAATATGAAAAAAATTAGAAAACTAATCCCATTTATAGTAGCCACACATGAAATTAAGTACCTGGGAAGTAACCAAAGAAGATAATTACAAAGATCTCTGTAATGAAAACTCTAAAACCCTGATGAAAGACATTAAAGAGGACACAAAAGATGGAAAAATATTTCATCTTCATGGATCGGAAGAATCAATATTGTTAAAATGTCCATACTACCCAAAGCAATCTACCGATTGAGTGCAATCCCTAGCAAAATACCAATGACATTCTTCACAGAAACAGAAAAAAAAAAAATCCTAAAATTCATGTTGAACCACAAAAGACCCAGAATAGCCGAAGCTCTCGTAATTAAAAAGAAACAAACTGGAGGAATCAGATTACCTGACTTCAAATTATACTACAGAGCTATAGTAACCAAAACAGCATAGTACTAGCATAAAACAGACACAGACCAACGGAACAGAATAGAGAATCCAGAAACAAATCCGCACATCTACGGTGAACTCATTTTCGACAAAGGTACCAAGAACAAACACTGGGGAAAAGACAATCTCTTCAATAAATGGTGTTGGGAAAACTTGATATTCATATGCAGAAGAATGAAGCTAGATTCCTCTTTTGCCATATAAAAGTTAAAAAAATTATGTTAAGTATCTTCTCTGATCACAATGGACTATAACTAAAAATCAATAACGAGGAATTTTGGAAACTCCACCAACACATGGGAATTAAACAATATGCTCCTGAATGACCAACAGGTCAGTGAAGAAATTAAGAATGAAATTAAACAATTTCTTGAAGCAAATGGCAATGGCAGCACAGCATACGAAACCTGTGGGATATAGTGAAAGCAATACTAAGAGGAAAATCAAAAAAGTAGAAAAACTTCAAATAAATAACCTAATGATACATCTTAAAGAACTAGAAATGAAGGAGCTAACCAAACCCATAATTTTAAGGACAGAAATAATAAAAATTAGAGCAGAAATAAAATGGAGTTGAAATGAAGAAAATAATACAAAAGATCAATGAAATGAAAAGTTGGTTTTTCTAAAAGATAAATTGACAAGCTTTCAGGCAGGCTAAGAGAAAAAGAAGACCCAAATCAGAGGTGAAAAAGTAGGCATTACAACTGATATTGCAGAAATTCAAAGGGTCATTAGAGACTATGAACAGCTATATGTCAATAAATTGGGAAACGTGGAAGAAATAGATAAGTTTGCAGGCTGGGCGTGGTGGCTCATACCTGTAATCCCAGCACCTTGGGAGGCTGAGGCGGGTGGATCGCTTGAGGTCAGGAGTTTGAGACCAGTCTGGCCAACATGGTGAAACTCCATCTCTACTAAAAATACAAAAATTAACCAGGTGTGGTTTTGCGTGCCTGTAATTCCAGCCACTTGGAAGGCTGAGGCACGAGAGTCACTTGAGCCCTGGGAGGGGGAGGTTGCAGTGTGCTGAGATCATGTTACTGCACTCCACCCTGGGTGAAAGAGTGAGACTGTGTCTTCAAAAAAAGAAGGAAAAAGAAATGGATAATTTCACAGGCACATACAGCCTTCCAAGTTTGAACCATGAAGAAATCCAGAACCTGAACATACCAATAACAGGTAATGAGATTGAAACTGTAATAATAAAAAGTCTTCCAGCAAAGAAAAACCCCAGGACCCAGTGACTTCACTGCTGAATTTTACCAAACATTTAAAGAAGAACTATTACCAATCCTAGTGAAACTATTCTGAAAAATAGAGGAGGAGGGAATACTTCCAAACTTATTGTAGAAGGCCAATATTACCCTGATACCAAAACCAGACAAAGACATAATCAAAAAAACAAAACAGGCCAGTATCCCAGATGAACATTGATGCAGAAATACCCAACAAAATACCAGCAAACCGAATTCAACAACACATTAGAAACATCGTTCATCATGACCAAAGTGGGGTTTATCCCAGGGATGCCAGGATGGTTCACCATATCCAAATCAATCAGTTTGATACATCATATCAATAGAATGAAGGATAAAAAACCATATGATCATTTAAATTCATGCTGAAAAGGCATTTGATAAAATTCAACATCCTTTCATGATAAAAACCCCAAAAAACTGGTTATAGAAGGAACACACCTCAACGCAATAAAAGCCATATACAACTGACACACAGCTAGTATCATACTGAAAGGTGAAAAACTGAAAGCCTTTCCTCTAAGATCTGGAACAAGACACGGATGCCCACTGTCACCACTGTTATTCAATATAATAATGGAAGCCCTTGCTACAGGAGTCAGATAAGAGAGAGAAAGGCCGGGTGCAGTGGCTCACACCTGTAATCCCAGCACTTTGGGAGGCTGAGGTGAGTGGATCACTTGAGGTCAGGAGTTTGAAGCCTGGCCAACACGGTGATACCCTATCTCTACTAAAAATATAAAAATTAGCTAGGCGTGGTGGCGGGTGTCTGTTGTCCCAGCTACTCGGGAGGCTGAGGCAGGGAAATCACTTGAACCCCAGAGGTGGAGATTGCAGTGAGCTGAGATTGTGCCGCTGTATTCCAGCCTGGGCTATGGAGCAAGACTCCATCTCAGAAAAAAAAAAAAAAAGAAGAAGAAATAAAGGGCATCCAAATTGGAAATGAAGATGCCAAGTTACTCTTGTTTGCAGATGATTGTTGTATTTGGAAAAACCTAAAAACTCCACCAAAAAATGATTAGAACTGATAAATTCAGTAAAATTGCAGGATACTAAATTAACATACAAAAATCAGTAGCATTTCTCTCTCTCTTTTTTTTTTTTTTTTTTTTTTTGAGATGGAGTCTCACTCTGTGGCCCAGGCTGGAAAGCAATGGCGCAATCTCGGCTCACTGCAACCTCTGCCTCCTGGGTTCAAGCGATCCGCCTGTGTTAGCCGCCTGAGTAGCTGGGATTACAGGCGCCTGCCACCAGGCCTGGCTAATTTTTGTATTTTTAGTAGAGACAGGGTTTCACCACATTGGCCAGGCTGGTCTCGAACTCCTGACCTCAGGTGATCCGCCTGCCTCGGCCTCCCAAAGTGCTGGGATTACAGGTATGAGCCACTTTGCCCAGCCAAATCAGTAGCATTTCTATATGTCAACAGTGAACAATATGAAAAATAAATCAAGAAAAATAATTCCATTTATAATAGCTACAAATAAAGTAAAATACGTAGGAATAAACCTAACCCAAGAAGTGAAAAGATCTCTACCACGAAAACTGTAAAACATTGATGCAGAAAATTGAAGAAGACACACAGAAAAGGAAAAGATACTCTGTGTTCATGGATTGGAAGAATCAATATTGTTAAAATGTCTGTACTACCCAAAGCAATCTACAGGTTCAATGTAATCCCTATCAAAATACCAATGACATTCTTCACAGAAATAGAAAAAAAAAATCCTGAAATTTGTATGGAATCACAAGAGACAGAATAGCCAAAGCCATCCTGAGCAAAAAACAAAACTGGAGAAATTGCATTACCTGACTTAAAATTATACTACAGTCACTTCCTGGTCTTTTTTGGCTTAGATCAAGTGCAAAGTTTACTAGAAAGGTATACCAAAACAGCATGGTACTGGTATAAAAACAGACACCTAGACCAATGGAACAGAATAGAGAACCCAGAAACAGATCTATACATCTACAGTGAACTCACCTTTGACAGAGGTGCCCGGAGGATACATGAGGGAAAGGATAGCCTCATTGATAAATGGTGCTGGGAAAATGGGGCACCCATATGCAGAAAAATGAAACTAGACCACTATCTCTCACCATATACGAAAATCACATCAAAATGGAGTAAAGACTTAAACCTAAGACTTCAGACTATGAAAGTGCTAAAAGAAAACATTGGGGAGACTCTCCAGGACATTGCACTGGGTAGTGATTTCTTGAGTAATACTTCGTAAACACAGGCAACCAAAGCTAAAATGGACAAGTGGGATCACATTGAGTTAAAAAGCTGCACAGCAAAGGAAACAATCAACAAAATGAAGAGACAACCCACAGAATGGGAGAAAATATTTGCAAACTACCCATCTGACAAAGGATTAATAACCAGAATATATAATTAGCTTAAGCAACTCTATAGGAAAAAAATCTAATAATCCAATAAGAATGGGCAAAAGATTTGAATAGACATTTCTCAAAAGAAGATATACAAATGACAAACAGGCAGTACGAACAGGTGCTCAACATGGTTGGTCATCAGAGACATGCAAATCAAAACTATAATGAGATATTATCTCACCCTAATTAAAATGGCTTATATCCAAAAGACAAGAACAAATGCTGGCAAGAATATAGAGAAAAGGGAACCCTTGTGCACTGTTGGTGGGAATGTAAATTAGCACAGCCATTATGGAGATTAGCTTGGAGGTTCCTCAAAAAACTAAAAATAGGACTATCATATGATTCAGCAATCCCACTGGTAGGTATATACCCAGAGGAAAGAATATCAGTATGTTGAAGAAATATGTACACTCTCATGTTTATTGCAGCACTATTCTCAATAGCCAAGATTTGGAAGCAACCTAAGTGTTCCCAGCAGATGAATGGATGAAGAAAATGTGGTATATATACTCAACGGAGTACTATTCAACCATGAAAAAGAATGGGATACTGCCGTTTGCAACAACATGGATAGAACTGGAGGTCGTTATGTTAAGTCAGGAACAGAATGTCATGAGCCAGACCCAGAAAATCGAACTTTGCATGTTCTCACTTATTTGTAGGTGCTAAGCAAATGAAAGTAATTGAACTCATGGAGATAGAGTAGAATGATGGTTATCAGAGACTGGGAAGGATAAAGTGGGGGTGAAGTGCGGATGGTTAATGGGTATAAAAATGGAGTTAGATAGGGCTGGGCACAGTGGCTTACGCCTGTAATCCCAGCTCTTTGGGAGGCCAAGTCAGGTGGATCATGAGGTCAAGAGACCCAGACCATCCTGGCCAACACGGTGAAACCCCATCTCTACCAAAAATACAAAAATTAGCTGGGTGTGGTGGTGTGAGCCTGTAGTCCCAGCTACTCGGGAGGCTGAGGCAGGAGAAACCCTTGAACCCAGAAGGCAAAGGTTGCAGTGAGCTGAGATCGCACAACTGCACTCCAGCTTAGTGCCAGAACGAGATCCGTCTCCAAAAAAAAAAGAGTTAGATAGAATATATAACCCATATATATATACATACAACTAGTGTGTATCCACAGAAGTTAAAAAAAAAAAAAGATGGGCAAACATCTGTCTCTTTTAATTAAAAATGGCTTTTGTTTTGCCAGACAAGGGAGCTTCTGTCACATACGCAGTTTTCAGAATGGATGCCTTCCCCCAGTGTCTGAAATGCTCCCTTTTCCTGTTCTGGGAAGCCTTTTCTGACTCACAAATGTTGACAAGCAAAGGCATTTTTGATTTTGATGCTCACAGTTATTATAATTATTATAAATTTGGCCAGGAGTCCCTATCATCTTTGAACAGCTGCTTTTTTTTTTTTTTTTTTTTTTTTTTTTTTTGAGATAAAGTCTTGCTCTGTCACCCAGGCTGGAGTGCAGTGGCACAGTCTTGGCCCACTGTAACCTCCGCCTCCTGGGTTCAGGCTATTCTCCTGCCTCAGCCTCCCAAGTAGCTGGGATTATGGGCGCCTGCCACCATGCCCAGCTAATTTTTGTATTTTTAGAAGAGATGGGGTTTCGGCATGTTGGCTAGGCTGGTCTCGAACTCCTGACCTCAAGTGATCTGCCCGCCTCAGCCTCCCAAAATGCTAGGATTATAGGCGTGAGCCACCGCACCTGGCCATGTTTGAGGAAACAGCTTTTTCTTTGAGGAAACAGGCTCATCTTTGTCTGCCCTGGCCCTTGAATCTACTTATTTTCCCAAGAGCCCTAGCGTCTTTTATCGGGAAATGGTTCTAAGAGACCAAAATCTGGGTGCCGCTGTCAGATTGCCTTTGATTCTAGTCCTTTAAAAAACAGAGTAAGCAAATATATTCAAAAATAAAGTTCATAGATTTCCAATTTAAGTTGTTTTTCAAAATTTCTTTGATTTTTTTTCCTCTTTTCCACTGAAAACCTTAATTTTTTTTTTTTTTTTTTTTTTTTTTTTTTTTTTTTTGAGATGGAGTCTCGTTCTGTTTACCCAGGCTGGAGCACAGTGACATAATCTCGGCTCACTGAAACCTCTGCCTCCTGGGTTCATGCTAGTCTTCTGCTTCAGCCTCCCGAGTGACTGGGATTACAGGCATGCACCAGCACACCCGGCTAATTTTTCATATTTTTAGTAGAGATGGGGTTTCACCATGTTGGCCAGGCTGGTCATGAACTCCTGATCTCAAGTGATTTACCTGCCTTGGCCTGCCAAATGCTGGGATTACGGGTGTGAGCCACCATGGCCGGCCTAAAACCTTAATTTCTGAGAACATTTAATACTTTATCATAAACATGTTTTATTGTATTTACACTGCTTTATTGTGCAACATGAAGTAGTTCTAAAATTGTGAGAGTGTTATCAATACCGATAAATATTTTATTTTTCATTATAGTATATTCTATTAATGATATGTAGTTCAAAAGTCCCTTGACATACTTTTCTTTGTATATGCATGGGTTAATTTGCTTGTTGCCAGTTGTAGGTTTTGCTTTTTTATGATTTAATTTTAATTTTTGAGGATGAAAGTCATGTATGTTTCAGAAGTAAAGACATCTAAAGTATACTCACAATGTTGTTGCTTTTTCTGGTCCTGCTGCCTTTGTCCATGTCCCCTCCCCATTTCCCCGTAGGTAGTCATTGGTACTTGCTTTCGGTTTATCTTTTCAGAGCATATGCACGTGTGTGTGTTTGTGTGTGTGTCTTTTTTTTCTTTTTTTTTTTTTTTAACACCGAGTCTCGCTCTTATCAACTCAGGCTGAGTGCTGTGGTGCGATCTTGGCTCACTGCAACCTCTGCCTCCTGGGTTCAAGCAATTCTCTTGCCTCGGCTTCGTGAGTAGCTGGGATTATAGGCGCCCGCCACCACGCCTGGCTAATTTTTTGTATTTTTAGTTGGGACGGCGTTTCACCGTGTTGGCCAGGCTGGTCTCAAATTCCTGATCCCCCGTGATGTGCCCCGCTCGGCCTCCCAAAGTGCTGGGATGACAAGCATGAGCCACCTCGCCTGACCACGTGTCATTTTTCTTGTATGTTACATAAGAGGTAGAATAGTATTTATACTATTATGCACCTTTTCATTTATATTTCTTGGATGACTTTCATGAAATGTAAAATGATTAAGTCACTAATTCAGTAAATCATTGATTTTATTACTGAATGATCGAATACATAAGGGGGATTGAGATTTTTTCCCATATCATTCTTTAAAAATTGCAGTGTGAGTGTGAGCTTATCTCGTTTATCATTGCCAGCTTGCATTCACAAGAGATGGGCTCTGTGGTCTGTGGAATGAAATGGTTAAAGATGGAGAAATTGTATACACTGGAACAGAATCAACCCAGAACGGATAGCTCCCTCCTGGAAAAGGTAAGGGCCTTTAACTAGTGTTTTTTATTTGGTAAAGACCATTATAAAATGCATTTTATAGAAATTTTGTAATGTGCTATAGGAACAGGAGCTTTGAGCTTAACTCTTTGAAGTTTTGCTTTTTACTTTGGAGATTGTTGTCTAAAATGGTAGTTAATACAAGCTGCCCGGATTTTATTGTTTTACGTGAATTGAAGGCATTTTTATTGCAAAACCGTCTTGCTGCATTTGTGGTGTTCTTTGGGGGTGTATTAAACACTTATTGGAAGCCTTTGGCCTGCAAGGAAATGCCATTGAACAATCTTATTTAGCGTTGTAGTTTTGCATGCTCAATAGGACTATCATTAGGTTGTTCATAACAGTGGCTGTGTTTCAGAGTCCCCATTGAGGTTTAAAAAAATGGATGCTTGTATACACCCTAAACTTGTTGAATCTGAAAAGATCCTTGGTTGAGAACCACTGTTGAAGTTCGTTGGTCCCCCTGCTTGAGAGTCATCAACGTGGATAAAGCTACCACTTTAGAAAGTATTTATTCTAAGTTGAAATAGCTCAGTTGGGAGAGCATTAGTCTGAAGAAAGTATTTCTTCTTCTTTTTTTTTTTTTTTGGGAAGGAGTCTTGCTCTGTCGCTGAGGCTGGAGTGCAGTGGCGCGATCTCAGCTCACTGCAAGCTCCACCTCCTGGGTTCATGCCATTCTCCTGCCTCAGCCTCCCAAGTAGCTGGGACTACAGGTGTCCACCACCACGCCCGGCTAATTTTTTGTATTTTTTAGTAGAGACAGGGTTTCACCGTGTTAGCCAGGATGGTCTCAATCTCCTGACCTCGTGATCCGCCCGCCTCAGCCTCCCAAAGTGCTGGGATTATAGGCGTGAGCCACCGTGCCTGGCAAGTATTTATTCTTCTTTTGTGGAATGAATTGGGATGGTGTCCACTTGAAAATACTTGGGGACCGGGCGCGGTGGATCGTGCCTGTAATTCCAGCACTTTGGGAGGCTGAGGCGGGCAGATCATTTGAGGTTGGGAGTTTGAGACCAGCCTGGCCAACATGGTGAAACCCCGTCTCTACTAAAAAATACAAAAATTAGCCAGGCATAGTGGCGGGCGCCTGTAATCCCAGCTACTTGGGAGGGCACGGCAGGAGAATTGCTTGGAGCCGGGAGGTGGAGGTTGCAGTGAGCAGATATTGTGCTACTGCACTCCAGCCTGGGTGACAGAGTGAGACTCCATCTCAAAAAAAAAAAAACAAAAAACACAAAACAAACCATGGGAAAAAGTATTAGTCTCCCTCTTCAGTTTCAGTGTCAAGCAGAGTTACCTGTGTTTTTATTTTAATTTATTTTTTATATTTGTTTGAAAATATTCACACACACACACACACACACACACACACACAATAACTGACAGACGTGTACAGTGAGTGGCTGCAGACCCACCTCCATGTTCTGCCACCGTATTTGGCTCCACATCCTGCTGTCTGTCCATCCACCGTTTGTCTCACCTAGCTCCTTAGACACTCATGTATGTAATTGATTCTAGTTCAACTTTGTTTTTGACTTTCAGGTAAAATTTATATATAATGAAATGTATCTATTTTGAGTTTACCATTTCACAAGTTTTGACAAATGTAACCCGTGTAACCCACATCTTTATCATGACTCTTGCTCAGAAAGTTCTCTGGTGTCCTGCCCCTTCTTCCCAGAGGCAATAGCTGGCCTGATGTTTCTCCAGCATTGACAAATTGCGCCTGTTCTAGAACTCCATACATGGAATCATGTAGTCGGGTTCTTCTGTGTCTTGGCTTCTTTCACTCTGTTTAGTGCTTTTGATTTTCATGTTTTTTTTTTTTTAAACAACATAATGGGTTTATATTTAATATAGCACTTCTCATCAGGAGGTGTTACTCAGTTAATATAAAGTTTTTATTAACATTAAATCTCTTTTCCATGTCAATGTCTATAGTGTTTTTTTTTTCTTTAACATTAAGTCTTTTCTCCATTTCAGTATTAGATACACTGAATACATTTTTCTAAATGATTTTTTTTCTTTCCAGAGATAAAAGTTTCCCTTTTTGGCTGACTATTGGATATCTGAATTTGGGAGATGACAAAAGTCTAATAAAAATACAGAGAACAGACTCAGTGATTTAGGAGGCAGTGATTACGACTGAACAGTGGCGATTTCCTAGGATTCTGGGCAAAATCCATTTATGTACCAATTTGTTCCCATTTCATGGAATCAACTCAGAAAGTAAAACTCTCCTACTTACTAATTCTTGGAAACTTTCAGACACCAAAGCTTACATTTAGTTTCAGTAGCACAAAGGTTTTCAGGGTGAGGTTTCATTCATTAGGCCCTTCAAAGTCACATCTGTTCATTTTTATCTTTCGTGCGTATACCCGCAAGCAAGTACAAACACCTGTAATACTGAGAACCACACCTTTTAACGAGAGAGCAGTTGCATCACTGGCTTCCACTGCCTTGACAGCAGGCAGCACCAAAAGCAGTGACATAAGGACTAAGGACAATTGTGTTGAAACTGAGGTCATGATGTTGGGATTTTGAGGGCTGAATGTTCCAAGTAAGTGGTATATATAGAATTCTCTCTGACTTGAAATTTTCCCTTTCTGGACCTCTGGATGCTGAGGCTAAGAGTGTCCATATGACAGTGTCTTCCAAGACAGGAATCAGCAACCTTTTTTTGTTTTTCTGTATCAGTAATTCATTCTGTATATTTTAAAAAGTTTTAACCTCTTCTTCCTAGCCCTCCAGTATTTGTTTATAAATTAAAACGTTTCCCAAAGTGTTTTCTGTGAAACAATAGTTCTAAAAGGTGCTCTAAGAAAAGCTAAGTACATGGCAAAATCCAAAGTATATGTTTTATTCATTACATTTGATGAATTTTTTTTGTTTTTTCCTCTCGAGAGGGAGTCTTGTTCTGTCGCTCAGGCTGGGGTGCAGCGGCATGATTTTGGCTCACTGCAACCCCTTCCTCTCGGGTTCAAGCAGTTCTCTGCCTCAGCCTCCTGAGTACTCAGCTAGGATTACAGGCGCCCTCCACCATGCCCAGCTAATTGTTGAATTTTTAGTAAAGACGGAGTTTCACCATCTTGGTCAGGCTGGTCTTGAACTCCTGACCTCATAACCCACCTCGGCCTCCCAAAGTGCTGGGTTTACAGGTGTGAGCCACCATGCCCAGCCCACATTTGATGAATTTTTTTGTCTTTTGTTCTTTTAAAAATCATGGTTGGAAAGCAGAGCATAATTGTTCTTTATGTAGATCCCAACTGATTGGGATTGTTAGGGAGATGTTTTGGCATTCAGTAAATGTTTTTGTTTTCCATTATTAAGACTATGAATATTTTATTTTATTTTCTGAGACAGGGTCTCAGAATTTGTCAAATTTGTAAAATTTATAGCCAGATGTAGGGTAGGGGTGGCCTACTTTCTGTAAAGGGCCAGATAGTAAATATTTTAAGCTCTCAATGGACCCTATGGTCTCTGTCATAGCCATGGGACCTTGCAGCTGTAGTGCCAGAGTAGCCACAGACAATACTACGTCAGCGGGCTGGGGACGTTCATTCTGTAAACTTTATTTATGGACACGAAAAGATGAAGTCCACAGAATGTTTGCAAGTCACAAAATACTGTTTTTCTTTTGATTATTTTTCAATTATTAAAAACTATAAAATACGGTGGCTGGGCGTGGTGGCTCACACCTGTAATCCCAGCACTTTTGGAGGCTGAGGCAGGCGGATCACCTGAGGTCAGGAGTTCGAGACCAGCCTGGCCAACATGGTGAAACCCCATCTCTACTGAAAACAAAAAATTAGCCGGGCATGGTGATGCACCCCTGTAATCCCAGCTCCTCGGAGGTTGAGGCATGAGAATCACTTGAACCTGGGAGAATCGCTTGAGCCTGGGAGGCAGAGGTTGTGGTGAGCCAAGACTCCATCTCAAAAGAACAACAAAACTAAAATACTTTCTCTGTGTTCAGACCATACACAAAAAGGCTGTGGGCTGGGTTTGTCCTGTGGGCTGTGGTTAGTGACCACACACACACACACACACACACACACACACACACGGCAGAGTCTGGCATTCAGAGCCAGCACCTGTGTTCTCACCTGAGCCGTGTTCCTGGCTGGGTTCTACTCTGTATTCTGTGACTCGAGGTGTCTACCTTGGTAAACTGGAGGCTGTTTTAGTTTGCATTCCCGCTGACAATCTGTCACGTTTCTGTTGCTCTGTGTCTTTGTTAGCACTTGGTGTTATCAGTGATTTTTAGTTGAGCCATTCTAACAAGTCTAGTGGGATCTCATTGTGGTTTTAATTTGCAATTCTGTAATGGCTAACAATGCTGAATATCATGTTCTTTTTTGCCACTCTTGTATCCTCTGTGAGTTTCTGTTCAGATCTTTTGCACAGAAAAAGCTGTATCATGGAACCAGTAAAATAACCAAGGAGAGGTTGATTAAAGTTCTGTTTATAACCCTAGAAGATTCCTGCCCTAGGGATATGGGATGGCTGAACGTAGGACACCGACACTGGACAGATGAAATAGCAGTTTATTAGTCACGCATGCTCACAGCCCTGGGGTGGGGGACACCGCATGCCACACGGGGGCTGCACTTGGGAACAGAGCGAACCACGAGGGGCTGTGGGAGGCACATTTTGTAGTAACAGGAGGGTGAGATGACCTTGCTTCCATGGGAAGATGTGACTGGCTTGTTTGAATAACTCTGGGCCGGCAGGGATGAGCAGGCTGGGGTCGGGTTTCCGCGATAAGGAGGTTGTTTGGCTTTGGGATCTTATCCGTGAGAGCAGAGCTCAGGGGAGACCTTGTGGTTAGGCTATTTGAGGCCTTCTTGATTTTACCAATGTCAAGGCAGCACGTAATATTTAGTCTTAATTTCAGGCCACACGAGAAATTCTTCTGTATCTACTTTCCGTGGCACTTTTCAAAAGGTTTTGTCCTTAGTGTTTAGCAGTTGATTATGATGTGCCTCGTCATGGCTTCCTTTGGATTTATCTTGTGTGGGCTTTGTGCAGATTCTTCAGTCTGCCTGGGTTTATGTCATTTGCTGAACCTAGGAAGTTTTCAGCCATTAGTTCTTTGGATATTTTTTTCAGCATTCACCTTTTCTCTCTTGTTATTAACCTGTGGGGTCTGTGCTAATTCTAGGTAGTTAGTTTCAGAATTGAATTGCACTGTGGGACACAAAGCTGGGTGTCGCAGAGAACTGGAGAATTGCTTGGTGCAAAAGTCCATACATTTGGTGTCAGAAGTGTTATAAACAGAGGAACTGTTTCCTTCGAGATTTTTAGATAGTCATTATTTGTAATCTGGATGGGATATCATGTCTTTCCCCGATTGAGATACATTTTTCTAATTATGTTGTTAGACATTTAGTCACAGCCTTCTGTGATGGAATGTGTTTACACTTCAAGGTTAAGGTTAGTTCTCTCTTCTCTTCGCTTACTGTGTAAGGAGTTTTATGACAGTTGTTTTTGACTGAAACTTGACATTGTCAGTGGCCTAAAGTGATTTTTCTCAGCTTTTCCTTTGTGTCCCAGTGCTCTTGAATTATGCCAGCAGTGACAGTGCCCCTGCATAGCAGTGCTTCCCAGTTGGCAGTGGAGTAGGGCCTTGTAAAGAGTTAAAAGATTTTTGAATCATACTCTTGTTCTACACCCTCCCTTTTCCCATGGATACACAAGCACTGGGACTCACTGGATAAAAGCAATTGGTGTGAAATTGAAGTAGGTAAATATGAAAGACTTAAGTTTCTCAGTTAAGAAATGTACTAGGAAGTAGATGGAATGTCATTTTGGAAGACATCCTTTAAATAATTTGTTGTATTGGTTTCTTTTTTTTTTTTTTTGAGATGGAGTCTCGCTCTGTCACCCAGGCTGGAGTGCAGTGGCATGATCTCAGCACACTGCAAGCTCTGCCTCCCAGGTTCACACCATTCTCCTGCCTCAGCCTCCCGAGTAGCTGGGAATACAGGCGCCTGCCATCATGCTCAGCTAATTTTTTGTATTTTTAGTAGAGACGAGGTTTCACCGTGTTAGCCAGGATGGTGTCGATATCCTGACCTCCTGATCCACCCGCCATGGCTTCCCAAAGTGCTGGGATTACAGGCATGAGCCACCACGCCCGGCCAATATATTGGTTTCTTTATGAAAATTATACTGGATCTGTTACAGGTATGATTGATGTATTTTATTTTTAAGTTGTCAAGCATTCAGTTAATCATGTGTGTTGTAACTTTTCGGGGAGGGACATTTGCAGAGGCTAACGGTATGACATTCTGAAAAGCGGTGACAGATTAAAAAATTTTTAATTCTGCAGATGATAGTGTCGAACCAAGTGGGACAAAGAAAGATCTGAATGACAAAGAGAAAAAAGATGAAGAAGAAACTCCTGCACCTATATATAGGGCCAAGTCAATTCTGGACAGCTGGGTATGGGGCAAGCAACCAGGTGATCTTGCGAATTTTGGCACTTTGGAAAGGTTGATCTGACACTCCCTTTCTAAATAACTTGAATGGATTCTTAGTATTTTTTTGGTAACAATTTTTTAAAAACTAATTAAAAAATTTAAATATTGTGGTAAAATATACATACCATGTAACTTACCGTTTTAACCAGTTTTATGTGTACAGTTCATTGGCATTAAATATATTGACATTGTTGCCCAGCCATCACGCTTGACTAATTAGAGACAGAATCTCACTGTGTTGCCCAGGCCGGTCTTATACTCCTGGCTTCACAGGATCTTCCTGCCTCAGACTCCTGAGTTGCTGAGATTTCGGATGTGAGCCATCGCACCTGGCACTATGTGTAACTTTTTGAGGAAGCAGTAAACTGTTTTCCACAGTGGCTACATTGTTTTACATTCTTGCAGCAGTATACTAAGGTTCCAATTTCTCCACACCCTCACCAACACTTTTTGTTTTCTGATGATAGCCATCCTAATTTGTGTGAGTAGGTACAGCATCTCATTGTTTTGATTTGTATTTCCCTGTTGATTAGTCATGCTGAGCATCTTTTTACATGCTTATTGGCCATTTGTATACATTCACTGGAGAAATGTCTATTCAAATCCTTTGCCCGTTTTTTGTTTTTTTTTTTTTTTGGGGAGATGGAGTTTGGCTCTTGTTGCCCACGCTGGAGTGCAGTGGTGCAATCTTGGCTCATTGCAACCTCCACCTCCCAGGTTCAAGTGATTCTCCTGCCTCATCCTCCCGAGTAGCTGGGATTACAGGTGTCCGCCACTGTGCCTGGCTAATTTTTTGTATTTTTAGTAGAGACGAAGTTTCACTATGTTAGCCAGGCTGGTCTTGAACTCCTGACTTCAGGTGATCCACCCACCTTGGCCTCCTAAAGTGCTGTATTACAGGTATGAGCCACTGTGCCTGGCCCTTTTGCCCTTTCTTTTTTTTTTTTTTTTTTTTGGAGACAGAGTCTTGTTCTGTCACCCAGGCTGGAGTACAGTGGCATGATCTTGGCTTACTGCAACCTCCACCTTCCGGGTTCACGCCATTCTCCTGCCTCAGCCTCCCGAGTAGCTGGGACTACAGGCGGGCACCACCACACCCAGCTAATTCCATTTTTTAATTGAGTTTTTTGTTTTGGGTTATAGGAGTTCCTTATCATGGATGGACTTTCATAATCTCTTCCCTTTCTCCAACCCAGTAAAACCCATATATTTATTCTTTGCTTACTTTTTTGTGTGTAATTGAATTTTTTAAAATGTCTGATGCATTTTCGTTCCAATTAAAAATATACATCAAATAAATGTTTTCTTATAAAAATGTATGGATTATAAAAGCAGAAATTTCACCTGGCTGCCCACCCCAATTTCAGTTTTCCTCTAAGAGTTAGCCACTATTATCCCTTCAGAGTGGATATTCAGGCTTTTCTTTCCTGGCATGGACATACATATGTAAATGTACATATATAAAAATAATTAGTGACACCATGCATGGTAGCTCACGCCTGTAATCCCAGCACTTTGGGACGCTGAGGTGAGAGAATTGCTTGAGGCCATCAGTTTGAAGCTGCAGTGATCTATGATTGTGCCTCTACACTCCAGCCTGGGTGACAGGGTGAGACCCTGTCTCTTAAAAAAAAATTCGTATTTGGGGTTAGTAGTAGTACCTACCTCATAGGTTATTATGGGATCAGTACAGTAGGCCAGACAAAGTGCGTATGCTATTATTTTGCATGTAGTAAGTACCAGCATATACTACCTGTTATCCAGAAATTTGCTGAAATGTGCCTTGTATTTTCTCTCTTTCGATTTTGATCAGTCTTCCTAGAAGTCATCAGTTTGAGTTTTTTCAAAGAACCAGTTGTTGGTTTTATTGATTTTGTTTGTTTTCTTTTTCATTGATTTCTGCTTTACTCTTTATTATTTCCTTTTTTCTGCTGGCTTTGGGTTCCATTTGTTCTTCTGTCTCTTCTAGTTTCTTAAGGTAAAGGCTTAGATCATTGACTTCAGATTTTTTGTCTTTTCTAACAAGTGTTCAAGACTATAATATAAATTTCCCTCTAAGCATTGTTTAGCCACATTTCACAAATTTGGAAATGTTTATTCATTTTCATCTTCATTCAGTTGAAAATATTTTCTAATTTCCCTTTTAATTTCTTCTTTTACTCACTTATTATTTGGAAATGTGTTATTTCATTTCCAAATATTTGGGGATTTTCAAATATCTCCTGTTAACAATTTCTAAATTAGTTGTAGTCAGAGAACATATTCTGTGATTTCAATGCTGAGGCTTGTCTGAAGCCCCAGAATATGGTGCATTCTGTGGAATGTTTCATGCACATGTAATAAGAATGTGGCTGGGTGCAGTGGCTCCTGCCTGTAATCTCAACACTTTGGGAGGCTGAAGTGGGTGGATTACTTGAGGTCAGGAGTTCGAGACCAGCCTGGCCAACATAGTGAAACCCTGTCTCTACGAAACATACAAAAATTAGCTGGGTGTGGTGGTGGGTGCCTGTAATCTCGATTGCACCCCTGCACTTTAGTCTGGGTGACAAAGCAAGACTACATCTCAAAAAAAAAAAAAAAGTGTATTTTGCTGCTCTGTAAAGCTTAGTGAGATCAAGTTGATAGTGTTCAGGTATCCTTGACTTGAAATAGTTTTCTGCCTGCTTGTTCTAGTCACTGTTAGGAGAGGAGTTGAACTAACACACAAGGTTGGCTTACCACATTAGTTTGACATGAATCTCAGAGATGTTACCCGTAGCTGATTACTTAGTAACTTTAAAGATACAAGTAATATCCTCACTTGTGTGCTCAGGCAAAGTGGGGAGAGATGTGGGAGAGTCTGTGCAACCCCCGCAGGTCCATCCTCTTTGAGCCCGGCCTGCGAGATGAGACCTCTCACTGAGGCGTGTGGTCCTCTCACTGAGGTGTGTCGTCATCTCACTGCACAAGGAGCATTAAGGATGTGCAGTGTTCCCGTTTTGTAGTCAGATAGTTTATACACCTTAGGGAACCTTTTCCAGGGAGCCATGTCCCATAAGTCCATGGATTTTAGGTATGTTTACCAAACACAATCCTAAACTAACCACATCTTGCTAAAAACATTTCATAGATAAGGACACTTCTCCTAGCAAATACCAGTCATTTATTTACAGAGAAGCCAGTCTCAGTGTTGTGGGAGATCAGCCCCAGTGACTGGCTTTATTTCCCAGGAGTATCTCCATTGTGCTGGGGAGGCATGAAGAGCAATTTCACTGCTTAGTTCCTCTTTCTTCTGAGGAGAATTGAAATCTCTCATGCTAATTATGGATTATTTTCTTTCAGCTCTGCAGGTTTTGCTTCATGTATTTGAGAATGTTATAAGGTGCATGCACTTTTAGGATTTTTACGCCATATTCATAAATTTGACCCCCTTAATCTCCGGTGACATTCTTTGTTGTGAAGTCACCTTGGTCTGACTACTCTCCTTTCTTCTGATTTGGTGTTTGCGTGGTGTGTTTGCCAGGTTTAGCTTTTTTCACTTTCAAACTTTGTGTATGTGTAAAGTAGATTTCTTTCAGGTATCATTTAATTAGGTCTTGCTTCTTTATTCACCCTGACAACCTCTGTTTTTTATTTGGAATCTTTAGACTACTTGGGTTTAAATCTATCATCTCTGGCGTTTTCAGTTACATCTTTCACTTGTCACTGCCCACTCTCAAATGGTATTACACTGCCTGAGCCGCGGGGCAGTGCTCTGACTGTAGCTTCCTGCTTCTGACATGTTCTTGGTTGGTAGTGTTGCTGTGTCATGTCCAAGTGAAACATGGTATAAACCCCACAATATGATGTTTTTGTTTTTGCTTTAAATAGGCAATTACATTTTTTCCCCTCAAATTTGAAAAGAGAAAAAAAAGTCTTTTTTTTTTTTGAGACGGAGTTTTGCTGTTGTTGCCCAGACTGGAGTGTAATGGCACAATCTCAGCTCACTGCAACCTCCGCCACCCAGGTTCAAGCGAGTCTCCTGCCTCAGCCTCCCTAGTAGCTGGGATTACAGACACACACCACCGTGCCTGGCTAACGTTTTTGTATTTTTAGTAGAGACAGGGTTTCACTATGTTTGCCAGGTTCGCCTCGAACTCCTGACCTTAGGTGATCCACGTGCCTCAGCCACCCTTAAGTGCTGGGATTATAGGATTATAGGTGTGAGCCACCACACCTGGCCTCTTTTTTTTTTTTTTTTTGAGGCGGAGTTCTGGTCTTGTTGCCCAGGCTGCCAGGATGGAGTGCAATGGCATGATCTTGGCTCACTGCAGCCTCTGCCTCCTGGGTTCAAACGATTCTGGCTCAGCCTCCCGAGTAGCTGGGATTACAGGCATACGCCACCACACCTGGCTAATTTTGTATTTTTGAGTAGAGACATGGTTTCGTCATGTTGGTCAGGCTGGTTTCGAACTCCTGACCTCAGGTGATCCACCCACCTCGGCCTCCCAAAGAGCCACCATGGCTGGCCAAAAAAAAGTTTTTTATGTTAACTTTCATTTTACCATTATGGGCCCTTAAGGTTTTGTTTCTGTCCCAGCTACCTTGTGTTATCATGTTCCTTCAGTTTGAAGATCTCCCTTTACCATTTCTAGATTTTCTGACAGAGAAGTTTTTCAGTCTGTCTGGGTATCAATTTTGGCTTTATCTCTGACTCTACACAAATCACTTTGTCTCACCTTGGGCCTCTCATGTATAAAATAGGAATAAGTGGCCGGGTGCAGAGGCTCATGCCTGTAATCCCAGCACTTTGGGAGGCTGAGACGGGCGGATCATGAGGTCAGGAGATCGAGACCATCCTGGCTAACGTGGTGAAACCCTGTCTCTACTAAAGATACAAAAAAATTAGCTGGGCGTGGTGGTGGGCACCTGTAGTCCCAGCTACTCGGGAAGCTCAGGCAGGAGAATGGCATGAACCCAGGAGGCGGAGCTTGCAGTGAGCCAAGATTGCACCACCACTGTAGCCTGGGTGACAGGGTGAGACTCCATCTCAAAACAAAAAAAACAAACAAAAAAAAGGAATAAGTATAATATAATGTAAATAATTAAAATTATATATAAAATAAGTGAAAGTACTTACTCAGAGAGTTGCTGTGCAAATGACATGAAATAATGCATTTGAAGCTCTTAAGTCAGTGCCTGGCACAAATGTTTGATAAAGATTTGTTGTGATTTTAAAAATCTGTTATTTTGCCTTTCTCCATGTTTCCCCTCACCTAGGTATCAAAGTACCTACAGTTATGGGTGGGTAACTAGACTAAAAATGTACCTTTCTTGCTCAGATTAAAGCCCGGCTTATTGACTCAGGGCAGCTTTAATCGGTTTATTTGGAAGCTCTGCTTGTTCACAGGTACAGAGCTTTTGCAGAACCGACTCTGTACCTGGCAGCCTTGAAGGGGCTTGGATTCAAAGCATATTCTTGAGCCACGCCATCTTTAATCAAACTGCAGGTGGAATTTGTAGCTGTTAGAATAGCTCCTATTCCTTTCATTTCTTTTTCTGTTTTTTTACTCTTCCATCTCAGCCTAAAAAGAAAAACACGTTAATTTGAGCCATAGGAATTTAGAATTTGTTTTTTCTTTTGCTTAGATATGTTTGACTAAAGCTTCCTTTTTCACAGGTTTATTTTTTCCAACATTTTATTATGAAAAAAATATATACAGAAAAGTTGAAAGAATTTTACAGCGCGCACCCACATATTCACCACCTAAGATTGTGCCGCTGGCATCATCCCACGTGCTTTATCACCGTTCTCTCCACCTTTTCATCCTTCTATTCATCCATCAGTCCCTCACATTTTTTTTGCAATGTTTCCAAGGAGACCTCTGGACACTTGCTTCTCAACATTGCAGCGTGTAGGCCCTCAGCAGGAGTTCAGAAGTGCACATTTCACAGTGAACCTTCTGAGAGTGTTGACAGATCACAGCTTTTCTTTTTGTCTAATGAAAAGGGCTTGCTGGCCATTGGGTGTTGTAATCTCTTAGGAGAGTAAACTCTTAGTAACTATCTAAATCATTCTTAATGATTCTCTCTGCTGTATAAATAGGTCTGGGAGGACCCTTTCTGACATTCTTGTTGGCATAGGTTTTAGCTTAAGGTGTTGTAAATGCTGTTTATCAAGATGATGAAGTTCCCATTTGTTGCTATTTTCTGAGAATTTTTATCATTCACGAGTATTGAATTTTGTCATTTGCTTTTTCTAAATCAATTGATATGTAATTATGTGATTTTTGTTCTTTAGTCTATTAATAGGGTGGGTTACATTGATATTTGACTGTTGAACCAGCTTTGCATTCCTGGAATGAAACTACTTGGCGATGATGTGGAATTCTTTTTATATATTGTTTACTTCTACTTGCTAATAATTCACTGAATATTTTTGTGTCTATATATATATTAAGGTATATTGTTCTGTAGTTTGTACTGTCTTTAGGTACGGTACCTAATATTAGCTTCTTAAAATGCTAATATTAGCTCTAATATTAGCTTCTTAAAATGCTAATATTGGCTCTAATATTAGCTTCTTAAAATGCTAATATTGGCTCTAATATTAGCTTCTTAATATGAATTGGGAAGTTTTTCCTTTTCTAGTTTCCAGAAGAGATTGTTTTGAGTCTGTGTTAATTCTTTTTTAATGTTTGATGGAATTATCCAGTGAGTTCATTTGGATCTGGTAATTTCTTTTTTTTTTTGGGATTCTTTGAATTATGAATTCAGTTTTCTTGATAGTGGTAGAGCTATTCAAATGATCTATTTTATATTTGGTGAGTTGTGGTAATTTGCATTATTTGAGGAATAAGTCTATTTTGCCCAAGTTGTCAAAGTTATGTGTGTAGAGTTGTTCCTAGTAATTCCTAATTATCTTTTTTCATATCTTTAGAGCCTGTTTCATCACTAATGTTGGGTAATTTATGTCTTTTTTTTTTTTTTGTCAGTCTTGCTTAGAGAGGTGTGTCAGTTTTATTGATCTTTTCAAAGAACCAGCTTTTTGCTTTACTGTTTATTGTTTTTCTGTTTTCACTTTGTTTCTACTCTTA
The DNA here is from genome assembly GCF_000001405.40 of Homo sapiens. Classification (NCBI taxonomy): domain Eukaryota; kingdom Metazoa; phylum Chordata; class Mammalia; order Primates; family Hominidae; genus Homo; species Homo sapiens. The sequence goes on from NT_187604.1 coordinate 174,770, forward strand.
CCTTAATTATTTCTTCCTTTCTGCTTATTTTTGGGTTGATTTTGCTATTTTTAATTTTCTTTTAGGTTGTCAACGTGGGCACTTATATTATTGATTTGTTTCCAAGTTTCTAATGTACCATTCATTTAGTGCTGTAAATTTGTCTCTCGTCACCCACTGTAGCTCTTTCCCATACATTTTGATGTATTGTACTTGCATTTTCTCTCAGTTCACAATATATTTTAAAATTTCCCTTGAGACTTTCTCTTTGATCCATGGGTTATGTAGAAGTTTATTGTTTAGTTTCTGAGAGTTAGGCAATTTTCCTGTAATTGTTCTCTTGTTGACTTCAGATTTGTTCCCATTGTTTGAGGGAACATATGCTGTGTGATTTTAATTTCAAAAAATTTGTTAGGTTTGTTTTATGCCTCAGGATATGTTCTAACTTAGTATTTGTTTTGTGGATACTTGAAAAGATTATGTATTCTGTTATTATTGGCTGGAGTGTTCTATAAATTTTGATTGGCTCTAGTTGATGGATGGTGATGTTGCGTTCTATATCCTGGCAGCTTTTCTGTCTCCTAATTTTATCAGCTGTAGAGAGAGATTTTGAGGTCTCCAACTATAAAAGTATAAATGTCTTTTTCTCCTTTCGGTTCTATTCATTGTTTTTTTGTTTGTTTGGTGTCTGCACGTTTCGAATTGCTGTGTCTTAATGGTGGATTGACCAAGTTCTCATTTTGTAATGTTGCCGTTGGTTCCTGGTAATTATCTTTTTTTTTTTTTTGAGACGGAGTTTCGCTCCTTTTGCCCAGGCAGGAGTGAAGTGGCATGATCTCAGCTCACTGCAACTTCCGACCCTACCAGGTTCAAGTGATTCTCCTGCCTCAGCCTCCTGAGAAGCTGGGATTATAGGCTTCTGCCATCACACCCAGCTAATTTTTGTATTTTTAGTAGAGATGGGGTTTTGCCATATTGGCCAGGCTGGTCTCAAACTCCTGAGATCCACCCACCTTGGCCTCCCAAAGTGCTAGGAGTACAGGCGTGAGCCACTGTGCCCGGCCCTCCTGGTAATTATCTTTGTTCTGAAGTTTACTTTATTTGTTATAAATATAGCCAACTCCTGCTGTCCTTTCAGTAATGTTTGCATGATCTTTTTTTTTCTATACTTCTATTTTCAGTTTGCCTGTTTGAAGTCACTTTCTTATGGACAACATATAGTTGGATCATGTTCTCTAGTCTACTCTCCTAGTGTCTTTTAATTGATGTATTTAGATTGTTTACATTTAATTTAATGTCATTGATAAATTGAGGCTTAACACTGCCATTTTGTTTTGCATTTTCTATTTCTTCTGTTTTTCATTTTTTCGGTTTGGTTCTTCCTGGCTCTCTGTGGTTTACTTGACCATTTTTAGCATTCTATTTCATCTGTAGTGTTTTAGAGTGTATCTTTTTGTATAGCTTTTTTAGTGGCTTTTCTAGGTAATATATTGCATACAGATTGAGCATCTGTAAACCCAAAATCCAAAATCTGAAATGCCCCAAAATTCGAAACTTTATGGCACTCCAGCATGACGCCCCCAAATTGAAAATTCCATTCATAAGTACTTAGCATGAACTTTGTTTCATGCACAAAATTACTAAGCATGCTATATAAAATTACCTTCAGGCTCTGTGTATAAGTTATATATAAAACATAAATGAATGTATTTAGACTTGGGTCCTATCCCCAAAATATCTCATTATTTATATGCAGATATTCCTAAATCTGATAAAAATCTGAAATTTGGAACACTTGTGCTCCTGAGCATTTTATAAGGGACACTCAGCCTGTGTATGTATGAACACTTATCAGATTTTACCTGATGTTGTCATTTACCAGCTTCAGGGATATAGAAACTACCTCCCTTGATGTTCCTTTATGTTCTTCTGTTCATAATATACTTGCCTTAAATATTTCATTTACTTACATTGATAACCACATATGACAATGTTATAATTTTTGGTTGAACCTTCAGACGTAATTTAGCAAAGTCAAGAGGTGAGGGAAAAGTCTATTGTATTTATGCGTTGGTGTGCTTGTCATCTCCTCCTTCCAGAAGTTCCAGGGTTTTCTTCTTTGATGGTTGCCATTCTGCTTAGAGAACTTCCATTAGCCTTTCTTTTGGTGTGGGTCTTCTGGTGACAAATTCTGTTTCACTTCCTCTGAGAATGTTTTGCTTTCCTTTTCATTCCTGAAGGACATTTTTGCTGGATATAAGAATTCTGGGTTAATGGTTCTTTTCATCGCTTGAAAAATATTTTGTACTTTCAGCTGGGCTCCATGGTTTCTGATGAGAAATTCGCTGTCATTTGACTTGTTAATCCACGATAGTTACGGCACTGTTTTTGTTTAGTGGCTTTTGAAATGTTTTGTCTTTTGTTTTTTGGAGTTTGATTATTATATGTCTTAGTTTGGATTTCTTTGGGTTCATCCTGTTTAGGGTTTGCTTACGTTAGATCTGTAGATTTATGTCTCTTGCCAAATTTGGGAACTTGTAAGCCATCACTTCATGGAGTACAGTTTCAGCCCCACCTTCTTTCTCCTGTCCCTTCGTGAGTTCAGTGACCGGAGTTGTTATAGTCCCATAGGTCCCCGAGACTGTTTTTTTGTTTGTTTGTTTGTTTTGCGGGTACATTGCTTTCTTTCTCCCTTCCCGTCCTGTCCTATCCCATCCCGTCCTGTCCTATCCCGTCCCATCCCGTCCCTTCCCGTCTTCGGAGTCTCTGCCTGTTTCCCAGGCTGGAGTGCAGTGCACGTTCTCGGCTCACTGCAACTGCCGCCTCCCTAGTTCGAATGATTCTCCTGTCTGAGCCTCTCGAGTAGCTGGGATTATAGGTACCCGCCACCATGCCCAGCTCAGTTTTATATTTTTAATAGAGATGAGGTTTCACCATGTTGGCCAGGGTGGTCTCAAAGTCCTAACCTTGTGATCTGCCTGCCTCGGCCTCCCAAAGTGCTGGGATTACAGGTGTGAGCCACCATGCCCAGCCTATTATTTGGCAGTCTTTAAACTAATGATAATAGGGGTCTTCTGCCTTTAGAAGAATTAGAACTGTGATTTAATTTGCAAATGAAAGTAGGTGTTCTCCAGAGTGGGCAACATTTAGATTAAAATAAAGGTTTTGGTTTTAGATTTCAAGGCCAGCTTGAGATGCTGTGCTGGGTTCCCACAGAGGTGGTTCTGCCTTTCTCCAGGGGTCCTAGGCTTGTAGAGTGGTTTGGTCATGTTAGTAATCTGTGTGGATTCAACTTACCTATGGTATCATAAATGTATACATGCACAGTCAATGTTGTGTACATGTATACAGCAGATTTAGAGATTTATACAGTTTATATGCTGCATAAATATATAGACGTATAGTATAACTGTATCATCAACATTGTCATTTGATGGGTCAAATGAGTCAATACCAAAATATAAAGCGTGGGTAAAAAACTGTGTTACTTTAGTTTTTCCCACCATTTCTGAATTTTTGTTTACTTTTCCTTTCTAGCTTTTGTCTGGTCCTCTGAGCCCCAGTGAGAGTTTCCTGAGGTACCTCACCCTTCCACAAGACAACAGGCTTGCCATTGATCTGCAACAAATGGCGGTTGTTGTCATGGCCCATTTAGACCGTCTGGCTACACCCTGTAGATGCCTCCTCTGTGTAGCTCTCCGACGTCTCATAAGGTGTGTGCAAGAACCGTGTTCTCCATGTGTTTTGTAGCTAGTACCACTTGTAGGTTCTCATCCTGGGCCCGTGTGGAGACTTGTTTTTTCTGGTATTGGTAGGGGGAGCTGGCCTGTGGTTTTTAAACGTGTTTGCAGTTGAAGGTGTTATCCGTGTTGAGAGTGAGTGATGAGCAAGCTGAGGCGCACAGGCCTGGCGACCCAACCTGGGGGCCCGGGTTCCAGGTTCAGGTGGCACAGCCCCAGAGAGCTCCCCTTTATCCACAGCCCCAGGCCCTCCCACCTTCTGCAGGGGGTTCCACAGCCTTCTTCATACTCTGAACGCAGGCTGTCTTAGTATGTCATGCTGGTTATAGTAGTGACAGTATAATTATGTATTATATCTCTTATGTAATAGTAATGGTAGTGATTTGCATGTGTGGAGCACCTGTAGGGTGCAGGCCCGCTGAGGACCTCATGCACGCTGTTGTATCTCATTATGTCAATGAGAAAACTGCCTTTGGGAATGGTAGTGAACTTTGCCAGTGCAGAACAGTAATCCTAGTTTTGAATCCAGATTTTTCTAACATTTTATTTCTAGTATAAAGAGTATTTATTTTGTTTTACAGTCATTAAAAAAAAAAAATACAGTCACATGGTTCAAAAATCAAACCTAGGCAGAGACACACTGTCGCTTCCCCTGCCCACCCCTTCCACCCATTTTCCCACCTGCTCCCTCTGACTTTCCAGTCTCCTCTGTAACCTCCTTGTTCTCTGGCATGAGTACGTTCGTGGTAGCATGCTTCATTACTTGTGTTGCTTGTTTTTTGTTTTTTTTTTTTAACTAACCATATATACTGGAGTACCTTATCAGAGTGTCCCTCTTTGTTTTTATAAATCAGCTTAGTCTTCAGTGTGTGGATGTGTCTTTTATCTGTCTTTCTTTAGTGAGTCTCTTATTGGTGGACACTTGGGCTTATTGCCACAATGTTGCTATACAAATAGTGCTGAGGGTCGGGTGTAGTGGCTCACGCCTGTAATCCCAGCACTTTGGGAGGTCGAGGTGGGTGGATCACCTGAGGTTGGGAGTTTGAGATCAGCCTGGCCAACTTGGAGAAACCCCGTCTCTACTAAAAAATACAAAAATTAGCAGGGCGTGGTGACGGGTGCCTGTAATCCCAGCTACTTGGGAGGCTGAGGCAGGAGAATCGCTTGAACCTGGGAGGCAGAGGTTGCAGTGAGCCGAGATCGCGCCACTGCACTCCAGGGTGGGCAACAAGAGTGAAACTCCATCTCAAACAACAACAACAGAAAACACAAATAGTACTGCAAGGCCTGGCCTGGAACACGTGTCCTCCATGTGTGCACGCGTGTGTGCCTGTGCACATGCACAGGTGGGGATGGACCTCGTGTGGGCTGGTTGTCACCAGATTGCTCCTGTACATCTTGATTTCTCTCACCACCAATAGGGATGCTGGTCTCCCAGCCTTGTGTGTGGGCTTTTGGGATTTTGCCTGCTAAAGCACAAAGTGGTGACCCCGATATAGTTTGAGCATTTTAAAATATATTAGTATTTAAGGGCCATTTATACTACTTTTTAATGGGCTCTGTTGAAATGCAATGGAAATGGAAAAATAGCCTGTTCAGTTGCTTCATCATACCTGTTAAATGCAGTAATATGGCATGGTACGAGATGGGGTTTCACTGTGTTAGCCAGGATGGTCTCGATCTCCTGACTTCATGATCTGCCCGCCTCGGCCTCCCAAAGTGCTGGGATTATAGGCATGAGCCACCGCGCCCGGCTGATTGGATTATTTTAAAGCATAACTCTGTCTTTAAAACATTTTAAGGTATTTTACCTCTTAATGATAAGGATTTTAAAAAAACCCTACAATATCATTATCCTGTCTATAAGATTAACAGTGATTCCTTAATCTAACATGCAGTCCATGTTACATTTTCCTGGACTATCTCAAAAATGCCTTTTTTAGGTGGTAATTTTGAATTAAGACCTGAGCATGTTCTGCGTATTGGCATTGCTTGACATATGCTTCTAGTCTCTTTCCCCAAACAACATGGCTCCAGGCCCTCTTCTCCCTGTCTCTGATCATACCGTTTTCTTTTTCAAAGAAGCAGGTTGGTTATTTTGGAGAACTTCACATTTTCTGAACTTGGTTGATTGCATTCTCTTATTCTAGACCAACATGTTCTTCTGTTAGTTACATTAATCTGCTGGTTAGATCTAGAGGTTTGGTTGGATTTGAATTCAGTCTCGTTGGGGCGGTGTTATGTCTGGGGTCATGCTGCATGCTTTCTGTTGGCTCAGGAGGCCTGTAATGCTCGGTGGCTCCCCGCTTTAGTTCTGTGAAGCTAGACCAGGGAATTCATGTGTTGCGTATCCTCTATAAAATCCCCTACCAACCTTGCCCTCTGCTGTCTGGTTAGCAGGAGGTACAATTTGTACAGCAAGGACATAATCTAAGCTTGACTTCTTGAACTGCCACCTCCCTTTAACTATTTTTCATAATATTGAGTTGGTATCCTAGCACTTGCATAGGTGACCACCACTCAGGTTTTCTTTTTTTTGAGTATTTTTATGAACTAACAGACTTTTATTGATTTGGTGTTTCTTTTCTTTTTTAGCTTTTTCCCCCTTTAATGTGTAAATATATACATTTAAAGGCATAAATGCCCTCAAGCATGCATTTAGTTGTATGTCACCAATTTCGATCTGCAGTATTTTGATTATTAACTGAACACATTTTCTAATTTTCATAGTCATTTTTTCTTAGAATTTTGGGTTACTTATAAGTGTATCTTGTAATTTTCAAATATGTGGATGAATATTTTTATTTTCTGTGTATACAGAGTCATTTTTATTTTATTTTGAATGAATTTTTGAAAACCTATTTGTAATTTAACTGCATTGTAGTCAGCACACATGCTCTGTAAGTTTATTTCTTTGAAATCTGTTGAGATTTACTCTATGGCCTGGCATGGCCCGATTTGGTATTCATGCTGCCTAGACTTTTTTTTAAAGCATTCTATATTTAACAGAATTTGTATGTGTGGTATTAGTTTCAGAGCTAGGTATGTATTTCTCCCATTGTGATTGTGGATTTGTTTATTTCTGCTTGTAGTTCTTTCACACAGTTTGTTCTTTTCATTTTACCTGTTGATTGATCAATGGACTGATTCTGGTTTCTGTATATACAGAGTCATTTTTTACAGGTCAGAACTGTAGAAATAATGAGAAAGTGACACTTGTACGCATAGCTGATTTGGAGAACCATAATAACGATGGAGGCTTCTAGACTGTGATTGACGGGAAAGTGTATGATATAAAGGACTTCCAGACACAGTCGTTAACAGAAAATAGTATTCTTGGTAAGATTACACTTGTTATTTCCTGGTTAAAAGTTACAGCCTGTATCATTTTAAGCAGAGTATTTGGCTTATAAATGATTCCTTTAGTTTTGTGCCAGCCCCCGCATATTTTAATGTATCTGTGGCTTTGGTGTCTGTCTTATCAACAAATTCAGCACATTCGAAGAATTTCCTTTCATTATGTATCTTTTGTTTTAATACTTGGAACTCATTTCAAGTTCCGAGTTGGCCCAGGCAACCCTGGGAGACAGTGGGAGGTCATTATATTCTGGTAACCCTCACTTTTGAGTTAAGAGCCTAACTTATTTCCTACTCACTATTTCTCCTGTAGCTCTTCAGGCAAGCTGAATTGAACTCATGTTGCTTTTTCCCTTTTTGTTTCAGCTCAGTTTGCAGGGGAAGACCCAGTGGTAGCTTTGGAAGCTGCTTTGCAGTTTGAAGACACCCGGGAATCCATGCACGCATTTTGTGTTGGCCAGTATTTGGAGGTGAGGCTGTATGCCTTGAGTGATGCAGAGGATGGCAGGGGATACCCTCTGTGTGTTTGTGATAGGAATATTTGGATCTAGAAGTACTGATATCTGGGTCTTTTGCGGGGCATTAGGGATAAATATAAAGATCCTTTAGAAGTTTTGTCATAAATGAATTTACATTTATTCATGTTAAGATCTGTGATGTACTGGTCTTGAAAGATTGTTTTTTAAATGATCAATTTGTGAGAAATATAGGCAGTGTTCCACAAGAAAAGAGGTTAAACTTTGGTCTTATGTAGAAATTTGGAATGGCTTATAATCTTGAGGTATGTATTTTTTGGGAAGAACTATGTAGAAGTGTAATTCTTTACAATAGAAATATGTCCTTCCTATGTATTCACGAACACATAGAATTTATATATTGGGATTAGCTTACTAGGTATCGACAAGTAATAAGATGTATTAAATGCCATTAGGGCAGGGCTTAAAACAGTTTATGAAGGGGAGAATTAACTTTGCTGTAAATATCTTCTGTGACTGAAAAAGTTGAACTCTTGCTTTTTTCAGAGTTTGATTTTTGTTAGAATAAATTTCATTTCCTCTACATGTGTGGTCACAGTCCACTAATACTTGTCATCGAATACTTGTCATAGTTTTGTTGCCCAGTGGGTTCTTTATGCATGTAACAATTCATTATACTTTCTGAAGCATGGTGTACAGTCACTTTGGAAACTGATTCCTAAGGAATATTCTAGCCAAATCATGTATCTGTGGTTTAGTTTTTCTACAGTAGGGCTGTGCGGTTGCTGCCTGCTTTATAGGGCATGTGGGTTTATATGGTATCTGCTGTTACTTGGGCACAGCAGCACCAACTCATTACAGGATGGAGGGGCAGAACGCCCAGAGCACCCCTGGGCTCACGTGCGGTACAGCTGCAGGAGAGAGCTGTCCTTTTGGTTTTATGTTTTTAATTAATTCTGTTTCCTCAGATTGATGATTAAATTTATTTTTCCAGCCTGACCAAGAAGGCGTCACCATACCAGATCTGGGGAGTCTCTCCTCACCTCTGATAGACACAGAGAGGAATCTGGGCCTGCTTCTCGGATTACACGCTTCCTATTTAGCAATGAGCACACCGCTGTCTCCTGTCGAGATTGAATGTGCCAGTAAGAAAATCTTTACTTTTTGCTAATTAGCAGATTTTTTTTTTTTTGAACTGTAAGTGCCATTAAGAGTGGGAGAGGGCCAGGCACAGTGGTTCATGCCTGTAATCCCAGCACTTTGGGAGGTTGTGGCACGTGGATTGCTTGAGATCAAGATTTTGAGACCAGCCTGGGCAACATGGCAAAACCCCATCTCTACAAAAAACACAAAAATTAGCCAGGCATGTTGGCACGTATTTGTAGTCCCAGATACTCAGGAGGCTGAGGTAGGAGGATTGCTTGAGCCTGGGAGGTTGAGGCTGCAGTGAGTCATGATCATACCACTGCACTCCAGCCTGGGTGACAGAGCAAGACTCTCTCTTTAAAAAAGCAGGAGATGGCCAGGCAGTGGCTCATGCCTGTAATCCCAGCACTTTGGGAGGCTGAGGCGGGTGGATCACCTGAGGTCAGGAGTTCAAGACCAGCCTGGCCAATGTGGTGAAACCCCATGTCTACTAAAAATGCAAAAATTAGCTGGGTGTGGTGACGGGTGCCTGTAATCCTAGGTACTCGGGAGGCTGAGGTAGGAGAATTGCTTGAACCCAGGAGACGGAGGTTGCAGTGAGCTGAGATCACGCCACTGCACTCCAGCCTGGGTGACAAGAGCGAGACTCGGTCTCAAAAAAAAAAAAAAGGAGAGGAGGATTCAACACAGTTGATGATGACAAAAAAAAAAATAATAAGGATAGTGAGACTCAATCAGGTAGAAACAGCTGTGAGTGGTTGTCATTTGCCCTCATGGTCTGTTGCTGCAGAGGAAGCTAAAAAGTGTGCAGGAATGTCTACCCGTCTGCCCTTGGTGGTCTCACGTATTGCAGCCTCTGCCTGATGGGCCCAGCATGGCTTTTGTCTCCCTGCATGCCCAGAAATTGCACAGAATGTGGATCAGCTGTCCTCTCAGGGAAGAGCATACTATTTGAGCACTGCGTTTTTACCAGACCAGGCTCAAGGCAGTTATATTTCAGGATGGCAGCCTTTGTAACCACCTAAAATAATAAGCTTCTTTCTGTCTCCTAAGATGTGTTTCCATTTTCCTTCATGTAGTTGTGCATTTCCCATCTGTCTGTCTGTCCATCCATGTGAGCAGCTTCTGTTGAGCATTTGCCTGGTGCCGTTACCATACGAGGTGTTCAGGATACAGTGATAGATAGGACACACCTCTGCTTTCTGGTGCCGTTACCATGCGAGGTGTTCAGGATGCAGTGATGGGTAGGACACGCCTCTGCTTTCAGCTGCTGCTTGTTGATGAGCCACCATTCTAAGCAGGTCACATTACAAGGTGGTGAATGGTGAAATGGAGATGTTCATACATGGTTCTGGGAGAAGAAAGGCTTCACATTGGCAGCAGTCCTGAAATTGCGTGAGAGAGCATTCTGGGCAGAAAACACAGGAGTGTCAAGGGCACTGCTGAGAGGAGCAGGGCTTTCCTGCTGCTTGCAGGAGTGGGTGTGGCAGAGGCTTGCAGGGAAGGAGGATCTTGGTGTCCATACAGCCCCCCGTTGGGCGGACCTTTGTGCAGTGCTAGGTGCTGGGCTGCCTGTGGTGCCCTCTGAGGTGTCTGCTTCCTTCCCTCCTCCTCAAGGCTCATTGCTTGCCAGAAGATGGGCTTTGTTTAAATTGGCAAGGAGGGCAGGGCTGGCGAGCTCCAGGGCAGAGGGTGCCATGGGCCCTGGCAGGTGGGTCCGATCCACAGGAGGATCAGAGGCTTATCTTGGAGCAGTAAGGAGGGGCTGTCCTGTGCTTAAAGAGAGGGGGCCAGAGAGAGTCGGCATTGGATTAGTGTTTCAGAAGAACGAATGTGGTGTGTTGGGGAATGCTCCTGAGTGCTCTAAAATCTAAATGTCCAGTAAAAGAACACTAAGTGCATCCCGCTTTGATTGCTTGGATTTGGAGCAGTATTTGATAACACAGATCGTTAATAGAGATCTGTAGTGGTGCACTCCCTCAAGTTGCCATAAGCAGTTGTAATTAACATTCGCACTGGTTGATCCCATGCCTTGCACCACGCACAGGTCTCCTTTCCAGTCCATCGGCCCTCCCATCTCCAAGGATCTATCCTTCATTACAGATTGTGTGTTTCTTAAATATTTTCTCCTTTTCATTCCTTTATAAGTGCTCTAGGAATACATAGCCTACCCTGAGGATGTAATTCTTTGTAGAAACCCTTCAGATGTGCTGTTCCCTGCCTGGATACTCAGCGTCTGGGTCTTATTCCTCATCTTAGCTCAGTTGTTGCTTCCACAAGTCCCTCACTGACCCTCAGAATAGCGGTGGTCTGTCTTCCAGTCTCCCTGGTACCCCCATAGTCATCTGTTGCACAGTTTTGGACTTGAAATCCTGTGATTAATTGTGTCAGCGGTGCCCTTTGCTGCCTTCCCTGTTAGAATGTGCACCTCAGTCTTCACACGGTACCTGTGGAACCAGGCAGCTGCAGGCAGAGCACAGGTATCCAGAGAATGTTGGACTGGAACTACGATCCTGAGTTCTGATGCCATGCCTGAGGCGTGTGGACTCACCAGAAAGTGTGTTCACGTAGATAGAGGAATTATAAGTCAACCTGTGTAAACATGTTAGGTGGAGCTCTTTCATATGAATGATGCTGAATTTCACCTTCTAAATTGAGTGTTCAGTTGAGCATCTTTTTTTTTTTTTAGTATTTATTTTGAGTTGTGCACTTGAGTTTCTCTTTCATGTTTGCGTGTGCATTTTCTAGAATGGCTTCAGTCATCCATCTTCTCTGGAGGCCTGCAGACCAGCCAGATCCACTACAGCTACAACGAGGAGAAAGACGAGGACCACTGCAGCTCCCCAGGGGGCACACCTGCCAGCAAATCTCGACTCTGCTCCCACAGACGGGCCCTGGGGGACCATTCCCAGGCATTTCTGCAAGCCATTGCAGACAACAACATTCAGGATCACAACGTGAAGGTGAGCTAGGCCTGCCCCCACTGCCACCTCAGTGCTCTGTTTATCTGAGGACTTTGACATAGGAATACTTATGTGCTCTTTGGTTAACACAGCACAGACTTTGTTTCATGTATTATTTGGAGGGTTTTGAGGTGAGAACCTGATTGTGTTAACATGCTAGCGAGGCTTCAGAAGCATTAGTGATTGCAAGTGCGTCAGAAGCTGTGGCATGTTTAAGATTTGTGAAGACTCACTGGGTTTCCCTGAAGTTACTTCCAGCTGTTCCTGTTGCAGGACTTTTTGTGTCAAATAGAAAGGTACTGTAGGCAGTGCCATTTGACCACACCGATCATGTTTCCCCCCGAGCATCCCGTGGAAGAGGTCGGTCGCTTGCTGTTATGTTGCCTCTTAAAACATGAAGATTTAGGTAAGGAGCTCAATATCTTTGTACTTTAGCTACACTGCGATTCCTCGACTAACCTGTGGTACGTATTCATTCCTTCACTGCCCTTCTTTTAAATGTCTTTTTACAGGTCATGTGGCATTATCTTTAGTTCATGCAGGTGCACTTGGTATTGAGCAAGTAAAGCACAGAACGTTGCCTAAGTCAGTGGTGGATGTTTGTAGAGTTGTCTACCAAGCAAAATGTTCGCTCATTAAGGTGATAGATTTTAATTCTTTTTATTCTGTGCTTTGCAGACAGTTGCTGAAATATTTGTTGTTAAAGTTGTCTTTTCCTGGTTAACTTTGCAGACTCATCAAGAACAGGGCCGTTCTTACAAGGAGGTCTGCGCTCCTGTCATCGAACGTTTGAGATTCCTCTTTAATGAATTGAGACCTGCTGTTTGTAATGACCTCTCTATAATGTCTAAGTTTAAATTGTTAAGTTCTTTGCCCCATTGGAGGAGGATAGCTCAGAAGATAATTCGAGAACCAAGGAAAAAGAGAGGTAAGAATGTAAAAGGACAGAAGATACTATTAAAGCTTGTGCTTCACCCTGCCACGTTGGATCTGTGATTTCAGAGTGAAGTTTCTCTACTGTTGATTCCATGTAACATTTCTACCTGCTGCCATCATTTTTATTATAGTTAGGATTAAATACAGACATCTCGCTTATTTTTCCAAATGATCAGACAATGAGGCAGTTTAGGAATTGAGTGTGGTATGATTTGATTACTAGTAAATTGATGTTGAAAACGTAAATAATCTTTGCTAAATTGATGGGAACAAGGAAGTACTTTTATTAGTTATCCTGGTAATGAGATATAATGGGAACATTTAAACTTATTGCCATTCTTCTAAAGAAATGTTTTTTGTTTGGAAATATTGAGTATTCTGATACATGAAGAACTATAAAGGGAAGCTAAAAGAGTTACTGACATTTTCCTGGAAGTAGCTGTGTAAGGGTACAGAAAAGTCTTTTTGCATTAAATCCAAATTTGAATAAAAATGCTTAGAAATTATAAAATAGTTTAGAATTTAGTCACTTGTGATTATAAATAAACTACAGAAATTTCTGATTATATCCTTTTTTTTTTTCTTTGAGATGGAGTCTTGGTCTGTTGCCAGGCTGGAGTGCAGTGGTGCGATCTCAGCTCACTGCAACCTCCGCCTCCCAGGTTCAAACGATTCCCCTGCCTCAGCCTTCCAAGTAGCTGGGATTACAGGCACGCGCCACCACTCCTGGCTAATTTTTATATTTTAGTAGAGACGGAGTTTCACCATGTTGGCCAAGATGGTCTTGATCTCCTGACCTCGTGATCTGCCTGCCTCGGCCTCCCAAAGTGCTGGGATTACGGGCGTGAGCCACCGCGCCTGGCCTCTGATCATATTATGACTTATACTGATTTACTCACAAACCTGCTTATTGAACAGTATTGATTACTGACTTTCTGATGGGCATTTTGAACAATAAGCTTATGAAAGACTAAAGTGTGTTAGAAGCCATCCTAATTTGATTGTTCCTGAACAAACCCTACACCATAACAGCCTGTCTGAATGCGAGGGGTGCTCTGGATCAGGAAGTCACAGCAGTCACACTGCTGCGATTCCTTTAACCCAGGCATGCAGGAACTCAGCCTGGGCCCAGGAGACAGGCTGCCTCGGAATGAGGGAGAGAGACTCCACATTTGCCATCTCATATCCGTGGGTTCTGAGCCCACACTGTCACTTTTAGAGTTTCTTGTGGGTTTATAGATTTATCGTGTGGTGTTTCAAGCTGGTTTTCTTTTTTTTTTGGAAATTAAGTAACTTGAAAAGATTAAGTGATTAATATTCCTGTTGCTGTGTCAGGGATCCCCGAGCCTTCTCTCAGGCTTGATGATTCACTAAAAGGACTCAGAAGAGCTGTTATAGTCACAGCTGTGTTTTTACTGCAAAAAGGATACAGATTAAAATTAGCAGAGGGAAGGGTGCATGGAGGGAAGTCCAGAGGAAACTAGGCACACGCTTTGGTGTCTCTCCCCAGTGGCGTCACGTGGATGTGCTTAGCTCTCCCAGCAATAGTGTCACATCATGTGTGAAGAATTGTTAACCAGGCCAGCGCACCTGAGCCTCGAGTCTAGAGATTTTGTTGGGGGCCAGTCACATACGCAGGCAGTGCCCCTGTGACTGACCTCACTCAGGCTCCAGTGCCCCAGTGCAAAAACAAGTGGTCCCTCGCAAGTCCCATCATTAGCATAAACTACCTGGCCAGACCACTGCCACAAGGTCCTGGGTGTCAGGTATACCAAAAAACTTCTCAGGCAGGATGTTCCAAGGGCTCAGAGCTCAGCTCCTAGAAGAAGGACCAATCCTGAAGGGACAGACCTTCCTTGGGAATTTGCAGGGTTTGAGCAACCCCGGCCTGCTATGTTAGCTCTTTACTGCCCAGATGTATTATCATGTTGCTTATTTTTTATATTATATGCTGAGGAGACTTAGACCAAAAATTTTAAAAGAGATAAAGTATAGGGAGGAGATTCCACATATCACAGTGAATTCAGTTGATTCAGTTACACAGTAACAGAACCACTGAACTGGACCAGGGTGGACAAGCCAGGAACTATGGGCCAAATTCTACCTCTTGCTGGCTTTGGGTTGCCCATGGACTAAGACCTTTTTTTTTTTTTCCAGTTTGAAATTGTTATTTAAAAATTAAAAGAAGTATATTATTTTGGCACATGAAAATTACATGAAGCTAAAATTGTAGCACCATAAATAAAGTTTTACAGGAGCACAGCCACACCTGTTGCTTTATCTGTGGTTACTTTTTGTGCTACAGCAGCAGAGTTGAGTATTTGCGACAGACAGCATGGCCTGAAAGACTCAAATGTTCACTCTCTGGCACTTGAGGAAGAGCTTGCTGGCTGCCGGGCTTCCCCTGCTTCGGGGCTTCTCCCCTCGTCGCACTCTCACTTTGTCTTTTTGTTCTGCCAGGGTGATCATTTCACTCTTGTTGTTGAGCATTGCAATTTATAATGTTGTTCAGATGTTTATTTGAATGAAATATTTGTCCTTCATGTAAATCTAAATATGTCTTAATTTAAAATTAATATTTAAGTGTATGATTTTTATAGTGAATGATGTTTTAAAACACAGTTCCTAAGAAGCCAGAATCTACGGATGATGAAGAAAAAATTGGAAACGAAGAGAGTGATTTAGAAGAAGCTTGCATTTTGCCTCATAGTCCAATAAATGTGGACAAGAGACCCATTGCAATTAAATCACCCAAGGTGCGGTATTTTCTGTGATTCTGAGGTTGGCTGAATAGAATCGTAGCATGTAGCACAGGAATCCACAGTCTTGTACCTCTGTACCTGAGCATCTGGAGGGAGGGACGGGCGGTTGTTAGAAATACGGCCCCAGTGATGCTTCATGAACTTGACTTATGATGTCCTGGTCAGAGCTGTAGCTGGAGAAGGGTTTCCTTTTATTTTTGGTATTAGATTGTATCATTAATTATTCACCATTCATTCCTTAAATATATTCTTTGTTCCAGAAACAGTGCTGGGCCCTGTGGCTGTTAATATGAACCATAACTTAACTTAGTATGCCAAGCTAGCCTGTTCCAACATATAGTATAGAGATTATAAATTCACTTATATTTATAGCATAGTTTTAAAAACATGTATTACTAAATTTAACGTATTTTAACCAATTTAAACCCATAAGCATTATTTATATTTTACTTGAATAACTTTTAGAGCACAGTTTATTATTAAATAGGGTAGACTAATGATGAAAATTGTTTTCCTTTGTTAGGACAAATGGCAGCCGCTGTTGAGTACTGTTACAGGTGTTCACAAATACAAGTGGTTGAAGCAGAATGTGCAGGGTCTTTATCCGCAGTCTCCACTCCTCAGTACAATTGCTGAATTTGCCCTTAAAGAAGAGCCAGTGGATGTGGAAAAGAGAAAGTGCCTACTAAAAGGTAACATTTGATGAGAAATGCTTCTCTGCATTGGGTAATATACATAACACTTAACTGTATGCATTGATATTTTGCAGTTGGAGAGAGCAGAGGTTCGCCTGGAAGGGATAGATACAATTTTAAAATTGTATCTGGTGAGCAAGAATTTCTTACTTCCATCTGTGCCGTATGCGATGTTTTGTGGATGGCAAAGACTTATTCCTGAGGGAATCGATATAGGGTAAAACGTTAGCATATTTTTTTCTTAATTAAGGAAGCTGTGGCAACAGAATGTTTTTCTGTAACAGTTAGAAGTCTGGCAGTGTCCCGAGTCAAATTCTTTATCTTTATTTGAAAGGGAACCTCTTACTGATTGTTTAAAGGATGTTGATTTGATCCCGCCTTTTAATCGGATGCTGCTGGAAGTCACCTTTGGCAAGCTGTACGCTTGGGCTGTTCAGAACATTCGAAATGTTTTGGTGGATGCCAGTGCCAAATTTAAAGAGCTTGGTGAGTCAATAATTGTATCAATGTTATTTTATAGTTTGCCTTTAATTATATGTTGTGGAAACTTGCAAATGCCAATTTTTGCTTTTGAGAAGACTTTAATAAGTTTGTACTTTGTACTTGTATAATCTATGCTGCTGTCAGCTTTCTCAGATTTTAAACAAAACTTTAAAATTTAGCAGGAGACACAATGTTGAAGTACTCTAGTATAACATTTTTACATTTTGACATTTTTATGTGTATCACCACATATCCTAAAGTGTCTGTGTCCTATATTGATATTTATTTCCTGGATAGTTTGAGCATCTACAGAGAGTTGATTGGATTGGTTTTGTGGAGGAAAAGTGAGACATAACTTTTATATTTGAAATGGAAGGAATGGAATAGGGCACCGGTGTATTCAGAGAGCAACATACTAAGTCCTGTAGACAGATGGAACGACCTGTGCATAGAATGCAGGGGGTAGGCCCATCGTGCAGCATGACAGAGCTGCCCACTCTGTGGAAACCACTGAAAAATAGTCAGATGTTTAGAGTAATCGCCCGTGCCTTCTGCATTACGTTTATGCTTGTATCCATGCGAGAGAAATGTCAGTGGGTGTCAAAATAGTCAGATGATTAGAGTAATTGCCCATGCTTTCTGCGTTACGTTTATTCTTGTATCCACGCACAAGAAATGTCAGTGGGTGTCAGTGCTTATTAGTCAGATGTTTAGAGTAATTGCCCGTGCTTTCTGCATTACATTTATTCTTGTATCCATTACAAGAAATGTCAGTGGGTGCCAATGCTCATTAGGTATCCAGCCGGTTCCCCTGCAAACCATCACCAATGAGAACCCATCGGGACCGAGCCTGGGGACCATCCCGCAAGCCCACTTCCTCCTGGTGATGCTCAGCATGCTCACCCTGCAGCACAGCGCAAACAACCTTGACCTCCTGCTCAATTCCGGCACGCTGGCCCTCGCTCAGACGGCACTGCGCCTGATTGGTAGGTCTGCACTGGCTTGAGAGCCTTTGGGAAAACGTCAAGATTTTGCTTTGATTTATTTTCTTTCTTTTTTTTTAAAAAAGCTTTTTGTAAATTATGGTAAGACACAAATAGCAGAAAGTGTAGCATTTTAACGTCGCAATTCAGCGGTATTAAATACATTCACAATTTTCTAGAGTCATCACCACTGTCTAGTTGTAGAACTTTTTCATCACTATAAATGCACCCCATTTAGCCATCAGTCCTGACTCCCCTGCTCTCCAGCCCCTGGTAGTCACAAATCTGCTTTCTCTGTCTATGGATTTGCATATCCCGGATATTTCATATAAATGGAATCATACCATTTGTGGCCTTTGTGTCTGGGTTATTTCATTTGGTATATATCAGTACTTTATTTTTATGGCTGAAAAAGATTTCATTGTATGAATATATAACATTTTGTTTACTCATTTATCTGTTGATGGACATTTGGGTTGGTTTTGCCTTTTGACTTTTGTGAATAGTGCTGCTAGGAACATTTATATACAAGTACTTGTTTGAACACTTGTTTCTAGTTCTTTTGATTATACACCTAGGACTGGAATTACAGGGTCATATGGTACAACTATGTGTAACTTACTGAGAAACTACCAAAGTTTTCCACAGTGCCATATCATTTTTACATTCCCATCACCAGTGGGCAGGATTCCAGGGTTCCAGTTTCTCTGCTTCCCTGCCAACACTATTTTTTGTGGTTTTCTTTTTTTTTTTGGATTAAGGCCATCCTAGCGGGTGTGAAGTGGTATCTCATTGTGATTTTGGTTTGCATTTCACTAATGATGAATGACATTGAGCTTCTTTACATGTTTGTGCTTGTTGGCCATTTGTATATCTTCTTTGGAGAAGTGTCTATTCAAGTCCCTTTCTCTTTATTTTTTATTTTATTTTTTTGAGACGGAGTCTCACTCTGTCGCCCAAGCTGGAGCGCAGTGGCACGATCTCGGCTCACTGCAACCTCCACCTCCCGGGTTCAAGCACTTCTTGTGCCTCAGCCTCCCAAGTAGCTGGGATTACAGTCACACACGACCACACCTGGCTAACTTTTGTATTTTTAGTAGAGATGGGATTTCGCCATGTTGGCCAGGCTGGTCTGGAACTCCTGACCTCAGGTGATCTGCCTGCCCTGGCCTCCCAGAGTGCTGGGATAACAGGCGTGAGCCACTGCGCCCAGCCCCTTTCTCCTTTTTAAATAGGGTTATTTGTCGTCATCTTGTTGTACCAATAAATGCACTATATAAGTGTATCAAACCTTTAAAGAAGAATTAACACCAGTCCTCAGACTCTTTAAAAAGTTCGTGTATACTAGACCTTCACAGATCTGTAGACCTTTATCAGGTATATCATTTGAGGGTATTTTCTCCTGTTCTCTGGATTGTATTCCCTTAGATAGAGAAGTTTTTTATTTTGATGAAGTTCAATTTATCTGTTTCTCTTTTGTCGTCTATGCTTTTGATATCATATCCAAAAAGCCATTTCCAAACACAAGGTTGATGAAGATTATCCTCATGTTTTCTTCTGTAAGTTTTATAGTTTCAGCTCTTATATTTAGATCTTTGGTCCATTTTTAGGTAATTTCTTTTACACAGTGTGAGGTAAGAGTCCAGCCTTTTTCTTTTGTTGATCTGATTGTTTCAATACCACTTGTTGAGGACTGTTCTTTCCCTGAAGTTCTGGGTACCCTTGGCAAAAATCAGTTGGCTGTGGATATTTAGGTTTATTTCTGGACTCTCAATTACATTATCACATTCTATATGTTGATAATTGTGCAGGTACCGCCCTGTTTTGAACATTGTAGTTTTGTACTGTTTTAAAATTGAGAAGTGTGTTTTCTTTCTCAAGATGATTTTGGCTACTTTGGGTCCCTTGCATTTTCACATGAACTTCAAGGCTGGCTTTTCCATATCTGCAAAAAAAGACCATTGGGATTTTTGCTAGGGATTGAATCTGTAGATTGTTTTGGGAAATAGTGCCATTTTAACAATGTTAACATCCATTCTCTGAATGTGGAATGTCTTTCCATTTATTTCTGTCCTCTTTAATTTCTTTCAGCAATATTTTATTGTTTTACAGTTATCAGGGTAATAATGGCCTCATAGAATGAACTAGGTAGTGTTCCCATATATTCTGTTTTTAGAAGAGTTTGAGGATTGGTGTCAGTTCAGCTTTAAATGTTTGGTAGAGTTGACCACCTAAGCTTTTCTTTGTTGAAAGATTTTTTTTTTTTTTTTCTTTGAGACGGAGTCTCACACTGTTGCCCGGGCTGGACTGCAGTGGCATGATCTCGGCCCACTGCAAGCTCCGCCTCCCGGGTTCACGCCATTCTCCTTCCTTAGCCTCCTGAGTAGCTGGGATTATAGTCGCCAGCCACCACGCCCGGCTAATTTTTTGTATTTTTAGTAGAGACGGGGTTTCACTGTGTTAGCCAGGATGCTCTCGATTTCCTGACCTCGTGATCCACCCGCCTCGGCCTCCCAAAGTGCTGGGATTACAGGCGTGAGCCACGGCGCCTGGCCTGAAAGATTTTTAATTACCGATTCAATCTCTTTACTTGTTATGGCTCTATTCAGATTTTCTATTTCTTCTTGAGTCAGTTTGGGTAATTTATGTTTCTAGGAATGTGTCCATTTTATCTAGGCTATTTTATTTGTTGGCATACAGTTGTTCACAGTGTTCTTTTATAATCTTTTTTATTTTTATGTTGGTAGTACTGTCTCCACTTACATTTCTGATGTTAGTTATTTGCATCTTTTCTCTTTTTTTTTCTTTTTTTTTTTTTTTTTTTTTTTGAGATGGAGTCTCACTCTGTTGCCAGGCCAGAGTGCAGTGACACAGTCTTGGCTCACTGCAACCTCCGCCTCCTGGATTCAAGTGATTCTCCTGCCTCAGCCTCCCAAGTAAGCTGGGACTACAGGCGCCTGCCGCCAGGCCTGGCTAATTTTTTTTGTATTTTTAGTGGAGATGGGGTTTCACCATGTTGACCAGGATGATCTAAATCTCTTGACCTTGTGATCCGCCCACCTCAGCTTCCCAAAGTGCTGGGATTAGAGGCGTGAGCCACCTTGACTGGCCTCTTTTTTTCTTAATTTACCAAAAGTTTGTCAGATTTTTTGTTCTTGCCAGAAACCGAACTTTTGGTTTTGTAGATTATTTTTCTATTCTCTATTTAATTTATGGCTGCTCTAATCTCTATCGTTTCCTTCTTTCTGCTTTGTATTTTTTTGTTTTTGTTTTTGTCTTTGTTTTGAGACAGGGTCTTACTTTGTCCCTCAGGCCCAAGTACAGTGGCGCACTCATGGCTCACTGCAGCCTCAACCTCCTGGGCTCAAGTTATCTACCTGCCTCAGCCTCCCAAAGTGCTGGGATTACAGGTGTGAGGCACGACACCTGGCCTAACTTTGGTTTTTATTGTGTTCTTATTTTTTTAGTTCTTCCAGATGTAGAGTTATTGATTTGAGATCATCTTTTGTAAATGCAGACTTTTATAGTATAATTGCCCCTTTTAGCCCTGCTTTTGGCCCAGCACAGAAGTTTTGGTGTGTTGTGTTTTCATTCATCTCATAGTATTTTCTAATTTCCCTTGTGATTTCTTCTTTGACCCACTGATTGTTTACCATGTGTTGTTTAATTTTCATATACTTGTGAATTTTCCACTTTTCCTTTTGTTATTAATTTCTCATCATTTCCTTTTGGTTGGAGAAGGTAACTTGTATGATTTTCGTCTGTTTAAATTTGAGACTTTGTGGCCTAACATATGGTCTGGTCAGTCTAAGAGAGTGTCCTGTGGTATACTTGAGAAGAACGTGTATTCTGCTCTTTTTGGTGAAATGTTCTGTATATGTCTATTAGATCTGATTGGTTTATGGTGGTGTTCTTTGGCTAAAACTGAGATGCTGCAGGGCCAGTTGTCAAAGTCACAGTGAAAAAGCAAGGTTTTCCCAAGCTCTTATAATCACATCAGTTTTAGAGTTCACATTAATCCATTCAAAAATATGTATCAGGCCAGGCTGTAATCGTAGCACTTTGGGAGGCTCAGGCGGGTGGATTGCTTGAGCTCAGGAGTTTGAGACCAACTTGGGCAACATAGCGAAACCCTCTCTCTACAAAAAATACGAAAATTAGCTGGGCATAGTGGTGTGTGCCTGTGGTCCCAGCTACCTGGGAGGCTGAGGTGGGAGGATTGCTTGAGCCAGGGATGCAGAGGTTGCAGTGAGCGGAGATCAAGCCACTGCACTCCAGCCTGGGCTCCAGCCTGGGTGACAGAGTGAAATCCTGTCTTGGGGGTGGGTGGAATCTTTCTATCTGTCTGTCTGTCTGTCTCTCTCTCTCTCTCTCTATATATATATATAATTATTTTTTAATTTATATATTATGTTTATATGTTGTATTATGTTAAATATATATTTTAATATGTATATTACAGCTGAAAAGAATCATCTAGTAAGGGTTATATCTGATTTCCTGAGGCCTCATTAGCAACCAAAAGTTGCATTTAAAAATTACAAAAGCATATCTCCATCGAGAAATGGCCTTTTTATGTTGTCTACTTTTCCCCCAGAGGTTCCAATAAGTAAAAATCACAGCACAAATCATTAAGTATGGGGACTTGTTCTGTTGATAATATTCATGTGTTTAAATTTCATCTGGCCCACTGGCTGCAAAAAGCAAGGAAGTTGTGTCTCATGAATATCCGTCTATATTTGCAGCCTGCCCTGATCAGGGTATCCTTCTTATCATTTAAGAAATTATAAACATATAATATTTTATACCAGCTTAATGTATACATCCACATGTAACAGCCACAAAACATAAAGCTATGTAAAATAAAAAAATTCCCCCCGGTTTTGGTTGCAAATTTATTCAAGCCCTTAGCAATACATTCAGTCTTTACAGAGTTAACAGTATAGCTGCCCAGGGGCTCCTGGGAGATCCACCTGGAATGCAACTCCTGTCCCTTCCTTGGGGCCCCTTCCTGGGGGCCCTCAAGTAGCGGCTAGGCTAAAGGAAAGGCTGTTTCTCCTGCTAGTTTATCTAAAGTTTTGCTCCAGCCCTGGGAATTGAATATCCTTTTTTGTTCTCTTGGAAGAGAGAGAAACACAAACTTTTTACATTTTTTGGTCCACCCCAGCCCACCTTTGGGACTGTTTGGATCTTTTTCCCTCCCACCTGGAGGAGAAAACTAAAATCAAGGGAGTTACCAGAACCACACTCCTACCCCCTCTCAGTTTAGCAAGTGGGAAAAGGGGGGTTAAAAATCTAGCCTACTCTCCTAGGGTTAGCGCTCCTATTTTCAGATCCATTGGGAAGTTTTACTTCTCTCAGGTGACAGCAGCTCGGCTTCTGTTTTGTGCTACGGATGACTCTGTAGCCACCCAGGGCACCAATTGTCAGGGGTCTCCAAGACCACCCCCAGGTTTGATGGTTGGCCAGGAGGACTCACAAGACTCAGCATGTAGTTGTACTCAGGGCTATAGTTTATTACAGTGAAGGGACACAGAGCAAAATCATGAAAAAGGACATGGGTAAAGTCCAGAGGAAAGCAGGTACAAGCTTCCACAGGATCCACACAGGACGAGCTTAACTGCCCTGGCACCGAGCCGTGTCAAGTGCTGTCTGCCGGGAAGCTGGGTAGAGACTCCAGGCCCACGGTTTCCATCAGGACTGATCACACGGGCACCCCCTGCCTGGCGTGTACCAAGTTCCAGACTAAGGAAAGCAGGTTTCAGCACAGACCACATTGTTTGTACAGACAGTTCAGGCACAGGGAACCACACCTACCACCTAGGGAATGGGGGAGCCCTCCTGAGATCCAGACTCCAGCTGAGGGCCAGCCTGCAGCAACCCTGTCTGAGGTTGTATCTCGGGCCAGCTGTTAGCTGTCTTCTGCACAGAACCATGATTAAAGTTTGTTAGTTTCCCACTGTTAGATATTTAGGTAGTTATCTTTGTTTTTCTATTAATAAAAAATGTGATGAGGATCTTTCTAACTCAGTTATTTTGCTTTTTTCAGGGGAGTAATTCCTAGAAGTAGAGAAAGTAGCTTTACTGAGCATTTTAATATCTTTTATATCTTCCTAGGATATTTATGTATTTCATCCTTCCGTTTATCTTCTTTTTATCCTATATCAGTAAAATATTCATAATATTATATTGATAAAACATATAGTATGGATTGTTCAAAATTACGATCTTCATTAGTACTTTGTGAATGTTTTGTGTGTATTAAGGGGACACTGTAGCTACTTGTTGGCTCAGCTATTGTTTTTGACGCTCCGTCAGGCCCCAGTTGTGACAGCGTTGAGGAAGATATGAATGCTTCTGCCCAAGGTGCTTCTGCCACAGTTTTGGAAGAAACAAGGAAGGAAACGGCTCCTGTGCAGCTCCCTGTTTCAGGGCCAGAACTGGCTGCCATGATGAAGATTGGAACAAGGGTCATGAGAGGTGTGGACTGGAAATGGGGCGATCAGGTACTCAGAGATTTGATGTGAACACATTAGCCACACATTAGTTATCTTCTGCATAGTTCTGTACGATATTGGTGGGTGGAAATTGGAATAATCCAGGATGTGTCAGTTGATCGATGACACAGGTGTTGGTTCCCGAGCAGCTGAAGGGAGTGAACACAAACAGGGAATCATAAGTAGGGCATCTGAGCAGAATCAAGTCTGGAAAGAGAGGCAGCTCTTTTCAGGAAACTCACTGGCATGAGGCTCAGTTTGATGGGTCACTGGAACAAGAGTGTGAGAGTGAGCAAGAGAGTAAATCTCATTCTGAAAGTTGGTGTAGTGAAGGCTCTGAGGCAGGAAGCCCAGATGCTGCCCCTGTGGGCTGATGGCCATGTGCTGCGAAGTGCCCTGAAGCCAGTAGTTAGGGATCTACTTCATGGGCCTGTGGCCACGTTTCCATCTTCCCTCATCGCAGGTCTCTTCTAAATCTCTGCCAGGTGCCCCCAGGTGGAAGTCACTTACCACAGCCCTAGCTAAGTTAGGGCAGTGTTCACCTTCCCATGGTCTGTCTGGCTTTTCTCAGCCACGCTGGTAAGCCCTGGCTTTGTCACAGTCATCTTAGAAATAGCAGTGTCTGGAGACAGCATCCATCCTAGAAACAGCTTTCTCCTGCAGAAGTGAGAGACAGAGCTTCCCCCTGGGGCCCAGGGGAAACTGAAGCAAAGGGAATGTGGAGGTGCTGGTGCTTGTTTCAGGTTTCCGCTCTTGCAAGGCCCGTGAGGGATTGTGGGGACAGGACTTGCTGCAAAGCCCTGTCTCTGCATTGACTCAGAGGATCCTCATTGAGATGAGATTTCCCCGACTTCCTTGGTAAAGCAGCATGAGCACGTTATTTTATGCCATTTAATTTAAAATGATGCAAGCACACATTTTGTAGGAGAGGTGAAATCTGTGTCTGGGGACAGCCCCTGACAGACAGGGTGGCATATGGCGACATCTGTGTGGCAGGTCTGGTGGGAGCCATGGAAGGACCAGGGCAGGGCACGCACCCTCCTAACTGAGGTCTGGTGGGAGCCATGGAAGGACCAGGGCAGGGCACGCACCCTCCTAACTGAGGTCTGGTGGGAGCCATGGAAGGACCAGGGCAGGGCAGGCACCCTCCTAACTGAGGTCTGCTGGGAGCCATGGAAGGACCAGGGCAGGGCACGCACCCTCCTAACTGAGGTCTGGTGGGAGCTATGGAAGGACCAGGGCAGGGCACGCACCCTCCTAACTGAGGTCTGCTGGGAGCCATGGAAGGACCAGGGCAGGGCATGCACCCTCCTAACTGAGGTCTGCTGGGAGCCATGGAAGGACCAGGGCAGGGCACACACCCTCCTAACTGAGGTCTGCTGGGAGCCATGGAAGGACCAGGGCAGGTTACGCACCCTCCTAACTGATCTCTACTTTGGCTTTCTCAGGATGGGCCTCCTCCAGGCCTAGGCCGAGTGATTGGTGAGCTGGGAGAGGACGGGTGGATAAGAGTCCAGTGGGACACAGGCAGCACCAACTCCTACAGGATGGGGAAAGAAGGAAAATACGACCTCAAGCTGGCAGAGCTGCCAGCCCCTGCACAGCCCTCAGCAGAGGATTCGGACACAGAGGACGACTCTGGTGGGTGACTCAGGAAGGTGTTTAGTCCAAGGCAGCCTACAAACTGTCCAGTTGCTGGGTGCTGCCACTGCCATCTGGGCCTTAGAATGGGATGTCAGGACACACCTGCAGCTGGCGCTCTGTCCTCGGAACCTGTAATTTAAATAAGCTCCCAGGCACCTCCGATGCAGGTGTGTGGAGTGACTGTGGGATCCGGCGATCTGGCTGGAACTGACTTTCTGCATTTTCCTCTCATGTGTGCACCCGCCCCTCTTTGAGAATGTGGTGGCCAGGTGGGGGCAGCTGCATCACCAGTGAGTCTCATGTGGTTGGTGCTGAGCCTGCATCTGAGCGAGTGAGCCGAGGCCTGGTGGAATTGCCCTGCGGTCTCGGTCCATCGCGTCCTCCTCCAGTGAGAGCCCCTGCCCAAGCACACCCCACCTGCCACCTGCCTTTACCTTTCCTCTGTGGTCCCTGACTCTGAACTCTTCATGTAATGTGGAGTTAGTCAGCACTTTATCGCTTCTAGGGAAGCAGAGGTGAGAATTTAGGGGTGGACCAAGAAAGCTAGATCCTATCTGTGGAGATCCAGGTTGTGGGAGGAGGTTTCGTGACATTTCTTAGCTGTTCCTAAAACACGTGAAGCTTCACATGGTTGGGCTTGGTAAGACCATCCAAGAGGCTGGGGCTGCCAATATAATTTGTAATTTTGATTATTTTTTTTAGAAGCCGAACAAACTGAAAGGAACATTCACCCCACTGCAATGATGTTTACCAGCACTATTAACTTACTGCAGACTCTTTGTCTGTCTGCTGGAGTTCATGCTGAGATCATGCAGAGTGAAGCCACCAAGACTTTATGCGGACTGCTGCGAATGTTAGTGGAAAGCGGAACGACGGACAAGACATGTATGGAATGAGAGATCGAGGGCCCAGGGAGTCAGCGCTGGGGGCCGCACGCTTGTCGTGTCTGGGTGTGCATGTGGGTGGGTGTGGATGTGTGTGGATTCCTTTCCTGTGGCTGCTGTAACAAAGTATACAAACTTGGGGACTTACACAGTAGAAATTCTCACGGTTCTGGTGGCTGGAAGGCTGAGATCAAGGGTAGTTCCTTCTGGGGCTGTGAGGGAGAAGCTGCTTCAGGGCTCTGCCCCAGCTTCTGGAGTTTACTGGTCTCTTTAGCGTTCCTCGGCTTGTAGAGGTGTCACCCCTATCTCTGCCATCATCTTCACATGGCATTCTCCCTGTGTGTGAGTCGCCTCCAAATCTCCCCTTTTCATGAGGACATCATTCAACCTCATCAAACTGATTACATCCGCAGCGACCCTATTTCCAAACAAGGTCACCTGCCGAGGTACGGTAGGGGTTAGGGCTTCAACATACGAATTTTGCAATTCTGAATTCAACCCGTAACACTGGCTTCAAACAACAAATTTGTTCTCTCAGAGTTCTGGAGACCAGAAGTCCCAAATCCAGGTGCGGGCAGGGCCATGCTTCTTCCACAGGCTCTAGGGGAAGGTCCTTCCTTACTTTGTCCAGCTTCTGGGAGCTCCAGGCTTCCTTGGTGTTGGGACGCATTGTGCCAGTCTCTGCCTGCGTCTTCACATGGCCCCTGCCCCTGTGTTCTGCATGTCCTTTTCTGTCTCTGAAAGGACTCTTTCATTGAGTTTCTTTGACTCTAATCCAACATGATGTCACCTAAATTCTTACCTTAATGACGTCTACAGAGACCTCATTAAATAAGATCATATTCTGAGGTTCCGAATGTATGTGAAGTTGGAGGACAGGCACAGTTTAATCCATAAAGTGTTTGTGTGTGTGGAGAGTAAGTATGAGAAATGTGAGCTGAGGGAGTGGGGTGAGTGTGCATGTGACTGAGAGTGAGCACGTGTGAGTGTGGGTGGGTATGTGGGCGTCCTCCAGTGTGTGTGAGAGCATGCATGTATTAGTGGTGTGCTGGAGCGTCCGCACATATTGATGAGAGTGAGTGTGTTAGCGGTCGATGGGCAAGTGGCTGAGCGTTTGTGTTGCAAGTGTGATGGTGTGTTTGTAGCATGTGGTTGTGTGGGTGTGTGTATGTCCATGAGAGCATGTGAGTGGGCAGGTGACTACATTCAGGTGAAGTGGGAGTGAAAGTGTCGGTGCATTGAGCCAATGTGTGTGTGTGAGGGTGAGCACGAGGGAGGCATGAGTGTGAGTGTGAGGGGATTACTGGGTGTGTGAATGAGACACCCAGTGTAAGTGTAAGTCAGTGAGGGTTGGTGAGTGTGAGGAAGTATGAGTGGGTGGCAGGCACAAGTGTAAGTGTGCGATTGAGTGCGAGCATTTGTGTAAATGTGTATGAGTGCCTTGTGTCAGTGTGAGCACGAGTGATGTTATTGTGAATGCGTGTGAGTGAATGTGAGCATTTTGCTTGTGTCAGTGAATGGGAGGTTATAACAGTATAGGTGTGAGTGTAAAGTGAGAAAGTGTGTGGGTAAAGGTGTGAGTGGGTGAGTAATCGGTCATTACTAGTGTTGAGGAGTGTGAGTGCATATGTGAGTTTTTGTATGCATTGGGAGGGGTAAGTGTATGTGAGAGTGCATGGGAGTGTGTGTCAGCTTGCATCTGTTTGTGCATACGTGTGACTGGGATTGTGTGTGTGTTAGTGATTGCGACAGTGGTGTGAGTGCACCTGAAAGTGTGAGGGTGGGTGTATGAGTGCCCATGAGTGTGTCTGAATAACTTAGTATCAGTGTGAGTGTGAGGATGCATATGAGGGTGTGAGAGTGAGTGTGTGTGTGTGTGAGCGCATGTGAGTGTGCTGAAGGAAGGCAGGTGTCCTCATAAGCTTGGATAGCTGAGGGCAGGGTGGGGGAGGTGGGAGGGAGAGCAGGTCCTGTGGGGCTGTGGGCGGGGTCCCTCAGGGGGCCCAGCCTCCAAGCCTCAGCTTCCATTCAGGGAGTAGTGGAGTCCTGGAGCCAGGCGGAGCAGAGGTGGGCCCACTGGTGCCAGAATCCAGTGGTGTAAACCTAGTGAAAAACTCATTTTGTTAATGCAGATGCATTAAACTTGGATTGGAAACTGTCTCTACTAAAATTACAAAAAGAGTATTTAAGTGGTGCAGATTAAATATAACCAAGATTGTGGAGATATTTAAAACACGAAATTAAAAATATAATAGATGCACTGTTGCAAATTACTATTTGAATTATAGATCATTTTCCTATTGCCTAGAAACAATGCATAGCTAAAATTCCCTAACTACTTTTACGACACATACTTAGAAGGTTTTAAAAATGCCTGTAGTCCCAGCTATTCGGCAGGGCAAGGCAGGAGAATCACTTGAGCCCAGGAGTTTTAGACCAGCCTGGGCAACACAGTGAGGGCCCTTCTCTAAAAAAAACAAAAAAAAAAGAAAACTTCGGAAATGTTTCTTGAACTAACTTAAAAGCCGCCTTCCACTTCTCACTTTGAATTAGTTTGAATTAATTTACAAACTGCAATATATTTTAAAGGAGCTTATTGTAGAAAATAAGTTGATAAAAAAATAAGGATATATCTTTAGGGATTTGTCTTTAGGGACTTGTTACCAAGCATGTCTATTTTCCCTCCCGCAGCTTCTCCAAACAGGCTGGTGTACAGGGAGCAACACCGGAGCTGGTGCACGCTGGGGTTTGTGCAGAGCATCGCTCTCACGCTGCAGGTGTGCGGCGCCCTCAGCTCCCCGCAGTGGATCACGCTGCTCATGAAGGTCGTGGAAGGGCACGCACCCTTCACTGCCACCTCGCTGCAGAGGCAGGTAATGTGCTGCCAGGCAAAACCAGTTCCCTGAGAGAGGCCTCCATGTACTGAAGTTCCCTGCCCTCAGAGTCAGGGGCCTTTATTCCGTAACGAGTGCAGAAAGGGTCTAGAAGTGACAGGGTAGATTTTCTGGAGGCAAGGGGCAGAGGTCCTTGATAATTGGTAAGTTGCTAACCTTCAGTTTACCTGCTTTTCTCTTAAGTGGTAAATCCTGCAACTACTTACTCATCTGCTTCACAGAATTTGTAGTGTAATTGTCTTAAGAATTAAACTAAAAATAATTCTTTTTTAATTAAACACATGCATCTGTAATGTTGCTTTTTTCTAAAGTCCCTGACAATCCTAATCACTAATCAACTTGAGTGTAATTACCTGGCTGTAAAATAATGAATCTCAAAATTTTCACATGATTACTTGCATTATGAGAACAGAAAATAAAGAGAGGCTGGGCGCAGTGGCTCATGCCTGTAATCCCAGCACTTTGGGAGGCAGAGGCAGGTGTATCATGAGGTCAGGAGTTTGAGACCAGCCTGGCCAACATAGTGAAATCCTGTCTCTACTGAAAATCCAAAAAAAATGAGCCGGGCTTGGTGGTGAGTGCCTATAATCCCAGCTACTCAGGAAGCTGAAGCAAGGAGAATCGCTTGAACCTGGGAGGTGGTGGTTGTAGTGAACCAAGACCGTGCCACTGCACTCCAGCCTGGGCGACAGTGCGAGACTCTGTCTCAAAAAAAAAAAAAAAAGAAAATAACAATCTGTAGTTTCCTCATCAGATTTTTTTTAATGCTTGTCATTTTAAATTTTCTTTTATCAGATCTTAGCTGTGCATTTGTTGCAAGCAGTCCTTCCGTCATGGGACAAGACCGAAAGGGCGAGGGACATGAAATGCCTCATGGAGAAGCTGTTTGACTTCTTGGGGAGCTTGCTCACTATGTGCTCCTCTGACGTGCCGTTACTCAGAGGTGGGTGGCCGTCTCCCTTCCCTGTACCCTGGTGAAGAGCGGTGCAGTGCCGTCACTCAGAGGTGGGTGGCCGTCTCCCTTCCCTGTGTCCTGGTGAAGAGCGGTGCAGTGCCGTCACTCAGAGGTGGGTGGCCGTCTCCCTTCCCTGTACCCTGGTGAAGAGCGGTGCAGTGCCGTCACTCAGAGGTGGGTGGCCGTCTCCCTTCCCTGTGTCCTGGTGAAGAGCCGTGTAGTGCCGTCACTCAGAGGTGAGTGGCCGTCTCCCTTCCCTGTGCCCTGGTGAAGAGTGGTGCAGCAGCTTCTCCCCTGGTTTCCTCCTCAGAGTCCACGCTGAGGCGGCGCAGGGTGTGCCCGCAGGCCTCGCTGACTGCCACCCACAGCAGCACACTGGCGGAGGAGGTGGTGGCACTGCTGCACACGCTGCACTCCCTGACTCGGTGGAATGGGCTCATCAACAAGTACATCAACTTCCAGCTCCGCTCCATCACCCACAGCTTTGCGGGAAGGCCTTCCAAAGGGGTGGGTTTGTGTTCTCAGAATTAATTTAGTTGAACAGTAAACCTGTAGGGATTGGGCAGCTCCGTGAGTGTCCCCGGTCGAGCTCGCTGTTTGGTCTGCACTAGGCCCAGTTAGATGACTACTTCCCTGATTCCGAGAACCCTGAAGTGGGGGGCCTCATGGCGGTCCTGGCTGTGGTTGGAGGCATCGATGGTCGCCTGTGCCTGGGCGGCCAAGTTGTGCACGATGACTTTGGAGAAGTCACCATGACTCGCATCACCCTGAAGGGCAAAATCACCGTGCAGTTCTCTGACATGCGGACGTGTCGCGTTTGCCCATTGAATCAGCTGAAACCAGTAGGTGAACTTGTGCTTAGTTACTGCATGATAAGGGAAATTGACTTTACACTAGAACCGAGCACCAACATCAGCACTTGAAAGAACTTGATTCTGGTACTTGAAGTTTGCCTTCCAGGAAGCTGTGCGAGCTTGTGCTTCTGTGGTAAGCAGGGCCTGTCTCACAGGGCACTTAAAGCAGTGGTTCGTGTGTATTTCAGCCTCAGAGACACGAAGAGGGCTTTAGCAACCTAGAAGGTACCGTGCATCTATGAGGTAGTTCTAATTATTTTAAAATGTGAATTTATGAAGTTTACTTTTTATTCAACAACTCAAGTTTTAAAAAAACAAACATGTTTAAACACCTTTAAAAAAACAGCCTTTCTTCATGTAGAAAATGCTTAGTAGTTTTGAGTGACGTGACTTAATGTAGCAGCTACTGTCATCTTAATCTGTGAATCAAGGATGCACAGGGAGAAGGAGCCATTTACATTATTTTGATGTAGCCCAAGTGCAATCTTACTATATATTCTTTTTCTTTTTTATTTTGAGATGGAGTCTTGCTCTTGTCACCCAGGCTGGAGTGCAATGGCACAATGTTGTCGGCCCTCTGCAACCTTTGCCTCCCGGGTTCAAGCGATTCTCCTGCCTCAGCCTCCTGAGTGTCTGGGATTACGGTGTGTGCCACCACGCCTGGCTAATTTTGTATTTTTAGTAGAGATGGGGTTTCACTATGTTGGCCGGGCTGGTCTCAAACTCCTGACCTCAGGTGATCCGCCCGCCTCGGCCTCCCAAAGTGCTGGGATTACAGGCGTGAGCCACCGTGCCCGGCCTGACTATATTTTCTATAAAGTACTCTTTTTTATTATTATAGGAATATATACATGTTGTAGAAAACTTGAAGTATATAGAAAATATCTGAGAAGATAGTAACCACCACACTGATGTAATTATTGTTGACAGGTTTGTAAAGAAAAATTAATATAGATTATACTTATTATATGTGTAAATCTCTATCCTGCCTTTAATGTCATTTTAAAAAATGATTATTCTCAGCTATAAAAAGGCTTACGGGTATGTGTGGCATTTCAGGATTAAGCCCATGGTTTTGATGACTTTCAGAACGTTTCATTTGTTAGTCATATTGGCCACACTCTGACAGCTTCTGTGTCCTCTCCAGCTCCCTGCCGTGGCCTTTAATGTGAACAACCTGCCCTTCACAGAGCCCATGCTGTCTGTCTGGGCTCAGTTGGTGAACCTCGCTGGAAGCAAGTTAGAAAAGCACAAAATAAAGAAATCGACTAAACAGGCCTTTGCAGGTCAGTACATGGCGCTTCTTGATGAAATAGCTGCCGTCTTAAACTCGTGTGGTTTGTACAGTGTTCTTTTATGAGTGAATTCACGGACGTACTAAAGTCCTGGGGTTCACGTGGGCTCACCATTTGTTGAGTTGCGGTTGGGAATGTAACCCTGTGTTCGTGGTAATGAGTATTTTCGAGTCAGCCTTTGTCGCCATGTTCGGAGCCACACTTGAAGAACCCCATGGCTCACACCCTCTTCTCCGTGTCACCCTTTATCCCGGAAGAGAAGTCTGTTCACCTCTTCCCTCCTCCCCTCCATCCCAGGGCCCTGTGGCCTCGTCACCCTGTTGGACCATGGCTCACAGCCTGTTCTCTGCCGGATCCAGGGGCCTCTGTCCCGGAAGCGCCTGGCTTGCCTGTGACATTCAGGATGGCTAAGACTGTGACTGTAGCCTGGCTTGGCTTTGCCTTCCTTCGGGTCTAGAAGGCGGCTCTCCTGAGTTTGTTTCCATGTTTCTAGGGAGCTCTTCTCTCTGCTCATTCTTTATGTCCTGGAAGTCTGTGTGGCTTCACCCATAACTATGGCGTATTCTGCCCAGTCTTCTTGAGTTTTCTCCCCTCTTGCTCCCACAGACCTACGATTGCTGCTTCAGCATTTATGATGTAAGCACTTTCAACTCTGGATCTCCCATTCACATCTCTGGTTGGAGGTGCAGTGCATGCAAATCACCACATGTCCGAAATTCAGCTGGCTGGCATTCTCTAGTAGCTGCCGTTTCCCATCGTGGTGAATAAAACTGTCTGCCAGTTAGTTGAGCCAGTGTCCGAGCGGCACCTGCGGCCCTCCTTCCTTCCCACCCCATGCTCTCTGTGCTGCTTCTGCGGCCTCTGCTATCAGATAAGCCTTGGGCATTGCTGCGATCTTCATCAGTTAAAGAGCTAGTGGGGCTGACAGATTCTCTCAGAGGAGTCTTAGAAGAAGAGTGGAAGCGGCTGAAACTTCAGCAACTTGGGGAACATTTGATCATATTAATAGTAGCTAACATGGTTCTAACCGTGTTAAACCCATTGAATCCTGCGTCCTATCAAGTTAGGTGCCTGGAGAGCAGGGAAGGAAGACCCAGGAGGCAGAAGATGCTTACCCAGAAGCACCGAGTGTAACTCTGGGAAAGGCAAGCCCTTCGTCACGGACAGTGTGTGCGGTCGGCAGATTCCTGAAGGGCAGAGCGTTACTCGTCGCCATGTGGCGGAGGCTTGCTGCTGGCGAGGAGGGAGTCTGAGCAGGGCACGCCCTTCTCACTGAGTCTTTCCTTCCACAGGACAAGTGGACCTGGACCTGCTGCGGTGCCAGCAGTTGAAGCTATACATCCTGAAAGCAGGTCGGGCGCTGTTCTCCCACCAGGATAAACTGCGGCAGATCCTGTCTCAGCCAGCTGTTCAGGAGACTGGAACTGTTCACACAGGTGTCTTTTTAAAAAGTTCTTAAATCTTTATAAGAAGGGCAGTAGAAAGTAGACAAAGGAAGTGAATAATCAGTTCATAAAAATGGACATAGGTGGCTTATAAATGTACAAAACAGACACGTGGCCTGCCCAGCAACCA
Source organism: Homo sapiens (assembly GCF_000001405.40). NCBI lineage: Eukaryota > Metazoa > Chordata > Mammalia > Primates > Hominidae > Homo > Homo sapiens. The sequence goes on from NT_187604.1 coordinate 208,888, forward strand.
CCAACTGTGAATAAAATTGTCATCGTCATCTTATAAGACAAGACTGAGGGCATCTGGTGGGTGGGGAGGGAAAAAGGTATTTTCATGCCTTCCCATTTAAAGTGTGCTGCATGGGTCAGCAAGATTGGTGGCACACAGGTATGTGTTAGAAATGCAGACTCCCAGGCCGCACCCCAGACCAAAGAAATAGAGCCTGTATTGTAACAAGATGAACCTAAGCTGGTTCTTCAAATGCGCGTAAAGCCGCACTCCATGAACATGCTGCTGCTGGGAATTTCAGTTGGTGTAGCCATCTAATGGGCGTCTGAGGAAATGAGTTGGACTTTGAAATGCATAGATGTATGTATGTATTTATATACTTTGGCCCAGCAAGTCATTCTGTGGGACTTTATCACACGAAAAGGCATGTAAAGATAATGTATTCACCACCTGGGCACAGTGGCTCATGCCTGTAATCCCAGCACTTTGGGAGGCCGAGGCGGGCGGATCACGAGGTCAGGAGATAGAGACCATCCTGGCTAACACGGTGAAACCCCATCTCTGCTAAAAATACAAAACATTAGCTGGGCAAGGTGGCAGACGCCTGCAGTTCTAGCTACTCGGGAGGGTGAGGCAGGAGAATGGCATGAATCTGTGAGGCGGAGCTTGCAGTGAGCCGAGATGGCGCCACTGCACTCCAGCCTGGGCAACAGAGCAAGACTCTGTCTCAAAAAAAAAAAAAAATTGGCGGGGCATAGTGGTGGCTGCATGTAATGCCAGCTACTTGGGAGGCTGAGGCAGGAGAATCACTTGAACCGGGGGGTGCGGAGGTTGCCGTGTGTGCGGATTGCAGGGTGCAGATTGTGCCACTGCACTCCAGCCTGGGTGACAGAGTGAGACTTCGTCTCAAAAAAAATAATAAATAAAAATAATGTATTCAACAGTGTCGTTATGGCCTCCTTTTTGGTATTGTTTTTGTATTGAAAAACTGTAAACACCAAAATACCCATTCTTATGTTGTGTATCCGTACAGTGTGATATCATGGTGCCATTCAAAATGATGGTACATGTATAGTCTTCCCTCAATATCCATGGGGATGAGTTCCAAGACCCCCAGTTATACCAGAATTCACTAATGCTTAAGGCCCTTCTATAAAATGGTGTAGTATTTGCATATAACCTATGCACATCCTCCGAAATACTTTAAAAATATAAATGATATATAGGCTGGGTGCGGTGGCTCACGCCTGTAATCCCAGCACTTTGGGAGGCTGAGGTGGGCAGATCACGAGGTCAGGAGATTGAGACCATCCTGGCTAACACGGTGAAACTCCATCTCTACTAAAAATACAAAAAATTAGCTGGGCGTGGTGACGGGTGCCAGTAGTCCCAGCTACTTGGGAGGCTGAGGCAGGAGAATGGCATGAACCCAGGAGGCGGAGCTTGCAGTGAGCCGAGATCGTGCCACTGCACTCCAGCCTGGGTGACAGAGCGAGACTCTGTCTCAAAAAAATAAATAAATAAATAAAAATAAAATAAAATAAATGATATGTAAATAGTTGTTATTGCTATTCTTTTTAAAATTATATTTTAAAAAATTGTTTTATTCTGAATATTTTTGATGTGTGGTTTGTTGAATCTTTGGATGCAGAACCCATGGATACGGAGGGCTAGCTGTATATGTTTATTGCTGTGGAAACATGAAAACAATAAGTGAACAGAAAAGCACACTGCTATGTATATCCGTTTATAGATATGCCATAGTTATCTGTTTAGCAAAACAGTGACCCAGTAATCTTTGGTGGAATTTTGGCTGTCTTTATTTTCTTTATATTTCTCTATATTTAGTTTTCTAGAATGAGCTTGTGTTACTTTTAATAGAAAAAAACATTTTTTGATCTCCAACTATTGAAAGACATTATGCTAAGTCTTTTGCGGAGAAGTCCTTTTCTATGATCATTGCTCTCTAGGGTTTGGATGAGGAGAGGAAGTGAATGCAGATGGCTCTCTTTGTTCTCTGGGGCCAGGGGGCGGTGAGGCATGTGAGTGGTTCCACAGGCGTCTGGAGCCAGTGGCAGCTGAGCACTGGACGGGCAGCCTTTGAAGGCTGTGGCAGACAGATGCCAGCAGACAAGCACTCTGCTGGTGGTGGAGGCAGGAGGAGAGGAGTGAACGTGGTGAGTCTTTGGAAGCACGTTGAGCAGCTCTCCTCTTCTTGGAGCTCAGGGTTTTTCGATGAGTGGTGGGGCTGAAGCTAGATGGGCAGCTGACATCCTGTTACAGAGTACCTGGGAGACCAGGGTGAAACTTGAGGCCCACTTGGAAAGCTGTGGTAGGGGCCACATGGTAAGCATTGACCTTCGGGTGATACACCTGCTAGGAAGGTATAGGAGTATCTGAAACAGGAGATGACAGAGATGGAGAATTGCTCCTGCGTCAGGTGATGAGGGGGAAGGCATGAAAAGGGAAAGAAGGTTCTGGTGGAAGGAAGGTGCCATCCACTGTGATGGTGTAGTCTTGTAGATGATAACTTTATGGGGAACCAGCAAAAAGTGGAAGGTGACTGCTGTTTCAAGCTTGAGTTGAGGGAGGAATATTGAGTAGTGTGTTTGAAACAAATAAGTCCAGTAGAATGTGGAGTGTGTGTGTTTGCTTCTTAAGAGGAGAGGATGCTATGAAATTAATTTTAAACCTGCTGAGGATGAAAGAAATCAATTGAAAGTATAGAATCAATTAATAGTAGAGGTCGTAGGGAACATGAAGATTTCCCAGTTGTAGAGATTGGGAGATTGGAGCCTGGGAATTGGATTGGCTGTTCTGTTCTGCACTCAGCCCGATGAGCAATTACAGCAGACCTGAATCAGGATGATCAAGTCTGTGCTTTGGGCCGAGCAGGGACTCCGAACAGAGCTAGATTGACAAAACTGCCGTGCACCTGTTTTTGTAAATTTTTATGGGAACACAGGCACACCACTTGTTTACACATCGTCTCTGGATGCTTTTGCTCTGCAATGGCAGAGCTGAGTAGTTGGGACAGAGACTGTACAGCCCATCAGCCTAAACTATTTACTCTCTGGCCCTTTAAGAGAAAGATTTCCAGCTCCTGGTCTAGTTAGTTGAAATTGTCACTGAAGAAAACCAGCACATGCAAATGCTGTGAGTACCTGGATGAGTACCTAGATGTGTGAAGTGGGCTTGAGCGCAGTGGATCTCCCTGGGGCTGTGTCAAACAGAGTCCTAAAGGCTGCACCTAAAGCTACTCATAACAGACAAAAAGCCATCACCCTGAGCACATGACACATTTGGAATTGGGGTCACTTAATGATCTCAACAAGGCTTAGCTGGAAAAGCTACAGCTAGAAATATGCACGTGGGATGTGTCTGTGTCAGGGGTTACTGAAGCCGTGAGTGAACATGAAAGAGAGTGTGTAGGTCAGGCATGGTGGCTTACGCCTGTAATCCCAACACTTTGGGATGCCGAGGCGGGTGGATCAGGAGTTGGAGACCAGCCTGGCCAACATGGTGAAATCTAATCAACAGCCTGGCCCCATCTATACTAAAAATACAAAAATTAGCTAGGCGTGGTAGCATGTGCCTGTAGTCCCAGCTACAGGGAAGGCTGATGCAGGAGAATCACTTGAGCCAGGAGGCAGAGGTTGCAGTTTGCCAAGATTGTGCCACTGCACTCCAGCCTGGGCAACAGAGTGAGACTCCATCTCAAGAAAAAGAGAAAGAATCAGACCAAGTGCAGAAATCTGGGAAGGAGCATTTGCTGGCTCTAAGAGACAGATGCACTAATGAAGGACAGAGACCAAAAGCAGGCAGTGAAAGTGGTTTAGAGTCTAGTTCCTTTTTTTTTTTTTTTTTTGAGATGGAGTCTCGCTCTGTTGCCAGGCTGGAGTGCAGTGGCGTGATCTTGGCTCACTGCAACCTCCAACTCCCTGGTTCAAGCAATTCTCCTGCCTTAGCCTTGCGAGTAGCTGGGATTACAGGCACGCACCACCATGCCCAGCTAATTTTTTTTTTTTTTTTTTTTTTTTGAGACCGAGTCTTGGTCTGTCGCCCAGGCTGGAGTGCAGTGGCGTGATCTCGGCTCACTGCAAGCTACGCCTCCCAGGTTCATGCCATTCTTCTGTGTCAGCCTCCCAAGTAGCTGGGACTACAGGTGCCCACCACCATGCCCGGCTAATTTTTTTGTGTTTTTAATAAAGATGAGGTTTCACTGTGTTAGCCAGGATGGTCTCGATCTCCTGACCTCGTGATCCACCCGCCTTGGCCTCCCAAAGTGCAGGGATTACACGCGTGAGCCACCGCACCCAACCTAGAGTCTAGTTTTTGTTCGATGTCTGAACCTTGAAGATTTTGGTTTTCTATCACATAATGAGGCAGAAGTCATACCTGATTTAACATGCTTAATGCATTTTCTTTAATAGTAAAGTGGTGTTCGCAGTTGAAAATAGAATCTTACACATATTTTGTTTTTAAATTCAGATGATGGAGCAGTGGTATCACCTGACCTTGGGGACATGTCTCCTGAAGGGCCGCAGCCCCCCATGATCCTCTTGCAGCAGCTGCTGGCCTCGGCCACCCAGCCGTCTCCTGTGAAGGCCATATTTGATAAACAGGAACTTGAGGTACAGCCATGCAGCCTTGACAGTTTTTAATCCACAGCACTAAATTGTGAACACTTTTTTTCTAGATGTATATTTTCTTAAGGATCTATTCTGAATGTTAAATGATAGTACGCAAATAATTCTAATGATTCATTGGGGTTTAACCATGTTTGTGCATAGTCTGCAGAACATTATAATACTAAAGACTGAGAGGGTTGAAGTTTAACCTTATTTTGGGTTTGTGTAAATTGTGAAAAAATATTAACTAGATGCAGCATGGGTTAAACGCTCACATCTTCATGAAGGGATCTTTTTCCAGGAAGTAGAATTATTCAAAGAGGCTCGTCAGGACTCTGGCAGCCATTTGTCTGTTTCATTCACTCAGGAGCCTCTTGGGGGTGCTCTGGTGCCGCCAGCCTCTCCGCTCTCTCCATGCTGTGGAGCAGGTGAGGGCAGCAGCGAGGCACAGGGTCAGGGCTACGGGACGTTCGCATAGAGGAGGCGACGTGATTGAGTGTAAGAGGGATGGGAGCTTTCATGGCTGGCAACATAGAGGATTAGAGATGTTCATTCCAAAATCTTTCTTGCTGTGTAATACATTAAAAATCTGGACAAAATATCAGAGACAAAAATAAAACTATCAGTACTCAGTTTGGCAATCAGAAATTACTCTAACAGAAACCCTCAGATAGCAGGGCCCTTCTGGGAGCAAGGGTCCAGATGAGGCAGCCACTGCCTTGGACAGGTGGGAGGCCTCCCCCAATCCTAGAACGAGCTGGAAAGATGGTGGGGGTGCAAAGGGAGAAAGCAAGAAACGGGTGTGGGCAGGAAGGGAGGAGGTTGGCCGTGAGCTCTTCTGAACTCCAGCTTCTTCTCAGGTCTGGGAACCTCCAAGGTGAAGGTTCATTTTAAAGGGCCTGGTTGTGTTTCCAGTCTCCCTGGCAGAGATCAAAAGACGCTGAGCAACTTGAGAGCACGTGGGGCGGTGCACGTGCTCCCTGCAGTCATGCTGGGAGATGCCGAGTGTGAACACCTAGAAGGCCGTGTAGAGTTGTTCTTCAGGAACTGAGAAGGACTGTTGTACAAAAAAAGACCTTCCGCTGTTTTGTCTCCATGGATTCCGATGGAGAGTCGTTGTTCTCATCTCTTCTTTTGTATGAAATGTCTGTTTTCTCTGGTTGCTTTTCGTATTTTGTGTTATCTTTGGTTTTCTGCAGTTTCCCTAAGCTGGGCTCATGTATGCAATGGTGGCCCACCCCGCCCACCCCACCATCCTCCTTGAAATTTATTTAAGCTGCTTGCATCTTTGGCTTGATTTTTGTTCCCCTACCAAATTTGGAAACTTTTGACTGCTGTTTTTTTCCCCGTCTTGCTCTTTTTGTTCTTTTCTGGAAATACTATTATACATCTGTTACACGGTTAGTGAGTTTCCTTTTATGACTTTAATAGAAAGTCTTTCTTCTCCTTGTTAGTAGCTTGGTTAGTTTGTCTTGATCTGTTTGAAAGGTCAAGATGCTTTGCTTTGTTGGGCCTAATCTGTTGTTATATCCATCCAAGACATACTTTATTTTATATTTCTCACATCTCTTATTTCCATTTGGCTCTCATTTAATAGTTTTATATCTCTTCTGACAGTTCCTTTCTTCATCCTTTAAGTCTATCTTTTTTTTTTTTTTTTTTTTTTTTTTTGATGGAGTCTTGCTCTGTCACCAGGCTGGAGTGCAGTGGCGTGATCTCAGCTCACTGCAACCTCTGACTCCTGGGTTCAGGTGATTCTCCTGCCTCAGCCTCCCGAGTAGCTAGGACTACAGGTGCCTGCCACCATGCCTGGCTAATTTTTGTATATTTAGTAGAGATGGGGTTTTACCATGTTGGCCAGGCTGGTCTCGAACTCCTGACCTCATGATCTGCCCGCCTCAGCCTCCCAAAGTGCTGGGATTACAGGTGTGAGCCACCGTGCCTGGCCAAATCTATCTTTTGCTGTACATTTTAAAACATATTTCTGATAGTTATGTTGAATTTCTTGTTTGCTAATTCTAACATCTGCCCACCTGTTGGTCTGCTGCTCTTTGCAGTTTTTTTCCCTTGATTATAGTCAGTTATTGGTTGTTGTCCTTCACATATGAGAATTTTTATTTCATTCTGGATTCTTTGGACGTTACATTGTATTGGCTCTGGGTTCTGCCTCCTCTGGAGAATGGGGAGTTTTCTTCTCACAGGCAGTTCAGTACCTGGCAGTCCTCCTTGATCCTGAGGTGGCTTGGTGCCAGGCTTTCTAATGATTTTTTATTTGCCCTTAGCCCTGGTTGTGGATCCTTAATTCTCAAGGATTTAGAATCTCTTCTGGGCGTCACTGGAAGCCTTGACATTCTCCTCCCCACCTCCAGTTGGTTGAGCTTGAGCCTCAGATGCTGTCCTGGCCCTGGGCAGCTGGGGAGCCCCTGCAGCCTTCCAGCGGTCCCTTTGTGCCGAGCGCAGGCTCTTCAGTGGTGCTTCAGTTTAGATTCAGCTGTAGATTTGCGGGTAGTCCGTCCGCATATTTCGTGGTTTTCCCTCTGTGGTTTCTTTCTCAGGCGGGCTTTCCCTCACATTCTGGTTGCTCTGGCAGGCCGGGACCCCAGCCCCTGCAGTGCAGGAAGGTGTGCCGTCTGTGGTTAAATGCGCGTCTTACCTGCAGGCTTCTCGGGGTCAGGGGTTGTGCTTGTTTTATTGCTGATTGCGTCAGCTGTTCTCCAGTGCCCTCAAGCAGTTTTAAAACATATTTTATCCAGAGTTCATGATTATTATCAGCCAAGGGTTAGTCCAATGCACCCTAACTCCCCATTATCAGAACCAGAACTCTTGGCTCAATCTGGCTCTGAATTTTAAACTTTTAGGATGAAACCTGTCACTTCCAAGTTACCCAGACTTCGCTGCAAAACCCTAGGCTTTGATACTTCCTGAGCACCGGGGGGCTCCACAGTGTCCTCGGTTTCTTCCTGATTCCTTCCTCACATGCTCCGTTTAACAAAATAGCAAGTCAGTGCTATGAGAGCAGCTGGGGAGGAGGACCAGGGAGTTGCAGACAGATCAGGGAAGTGCTATTTGTGCTGTAGGTGGGGAGTTCCCAGCTGTAGAGACTGGCAGTTTAGATGTTCACTGATTCATTGCAGTGTGTTTCCCAACTAATACTCTTTTATTTCTCTTACTTTTTAATACCTTGTTTAACCTCACTGTGGTTATTTAACCCTTGAATAGTTGAGGGTTGTTTTAATGGTACATGAGAGTCCTGTGTCATTTCTGGCCTGTCTAAAACACAGGTGCCTGTGGCCGCCACCACAGTGCCTGGTTAAGGCAGGGGAAATGCCTTTCTCCCTGCTCCCTCAAGCCCCTGTGACTGCTCGCTTAGGGCTGTAATGAAGTTTTCCTTAATGGACATTGATACTTGGCTAATTTAGTAGGCTCTCTGTCTGCTGAAACAGGCAAGTTATTTTACCACCAAGTATTTTCTCTGCATTAAACTGCGAAACTTGGCTTTGTCATTTTCTAACATGTTTTAGGAACTCATTGAAAAACGCACATGTGAATGTGGGCTTTCTAGACTTGCATGATGCCCCATGTTCCTAGACTGTGTAAGCTAGCCGAGGGCACTTCCCAAACCTCCCAGGACCCTCTTGTCTGCCCAGACTGCTGCACTGGCCGTTGTGGAGTCCACTCACCCTTCGAGCCCAGGATTTGAAGACTGCAGCTCCAGTGAGGCCACCACGCCTGTCAACGTGCAGCACATCCGCCCTGCCAGAGTGAAGAGGCGCAAGCAGTCGCCCGTTCCCGCTCTGCCGATCGTGGTGCAGCTCATGGAGATGGGATTTCCCAGAAGGAACATCGAGTTTGCCCTGAAGTCTCTCACTGGTGCTTCCGGGAATGCGTCCGGCTTGCCTGGTACTTCGTTTTCCTGGCCTCTGCTTGTACGTGTGTGGGTTCCCGCTTCAGGGCTGTTGACTCACAGTGGCTGGTGTGCTGTGTGTGCCTCTCTTAGGTGTGGAAGCCTTGGTCGGGTGGCTGCTGGACCACTCCGACATACAGGTCACGGAGCTCTCAGATGCAGACACGGTGTCCGACGAGTATTCTGACGAGGAGGTGGTGGAGGACATGGATGATGCCGCCTACTCCATGGTCAGTGCCTCCCATGTGACCGCCCGCACCTGGGCCGCTGTCCGTCTAGCGCTCTAACAGTCTTACACCTTGGCTTTCTCTGTCCCTTGAAAGAATTAACTATATCTACTGTGGACTGTTTCATAAAACCAACCTATGGTGTTGCCGGGCACAGAACAAAGCTGTGTTTCACTACTGAAGGGATGATTGGGTTTCTATATCATAATTACTTTTAGCTTCAGAACAGACCCTTGTTCAAACATCTCATGATCTTCGGTAGCCATTAGAGGATATTTTATTAAAATACCATGTTTTGACACATCAGTTTCTGACCTGAGTAAATTGTTCATAGGATTAATTTGGAAGTGCCTTGGAAATTTTGTATACTTGTAGCTTTTGAGATTCATTTCTGCCTACTATGCTACTGCTATTAGTCTTTTTTAAATGAAGATTTTTATAGAGAAAATAAAGGATTTCATCCTTTACTTTTTAATATTATAGATTTCACAGACATTTCTTTTTGAGTAGATTTATTGAGTTCTCCTTTTTTTTTTTCTTTGAATGTATTTATTTCTTGTAGTCTACTGGTGCTGTTGTGACGGAGAGCCAGACGTACAAAAACCGAGCTGGTTTCTTGGGTAATGATGATTATGCTGTATATGTGAGAGAGAATATTCAGGTGAGTAATTGTCTTAAGCTGGAGCCTCGATCCGTTTTTCACTCAGCAAATATTTGGGTATGTCCTATATGCCAAACATCAGTGGACAGAGGCCCCTGCCCTCAGGGAGCCTGCCTTCTGGTGCTGGAAGACATACCTGACCAGTGAGCTCATGGTACGCTAGAAGGTGCTGTGTACCCTGGAATGAGAGAGAGCAGACTACAGTAAAGGGGTGGGAGTGAGGGCACAGTCCAGGGATCGGGATCTGCAATGAGAAGGTGAGATGGGTGCAAAGCCTACAGGGTGTGAAGGGTGGCTGAAGGGTGGCTGAGCAGGATGGGCACCCAGACAGAGGCTGCTGTGGCTGCCCCGGTGTAGCCAGAGGACAGAGGGGCAGATGGGCTCAGGGGCAGCCGGAGAGCACAAGTGGCCTGTCCACGGTGGACATGGCGCAGAGATGGCTGTTTTCTACTAGCCCCACTTGTGACACTTCCTACATACCTTTCCTTGTTTTTCTTATGTAATTCTCATTGCCATCAAACTTTAAAAATCTAATTATGTTTTATATAGTCCTTTATCTACTTTAAATCATTTCTTGTCCTAATTCTCTTGTTTTAGTATATTTTAGAGAAAATCCCCCAAATCATCTCATTTCACCTGTATATATGTCAGTGAGTATCACTAATAAAGAATCTTAACATAATGACATTTCTGTTTACCAGCATTACCTAACAAAATAAATAATAATTCCTTAATATCATCTCATATCTAACGCTTGCTTGTAGTTTTCCAGTTTTCTCAGAAATGGCTTTAATGGTTAGTTTTTGAACTTGGATAAACCAAGATTGTATGCCTTATCTGCATTTGGTTGATGGATCTTTGAAGTCTATTCCAAGCTAGAGTGGTTCCCCCTTGTCTTAGCTCAGTTGGCTATAACACAGTACCATAGACTGGCAGCTTCAACAACAGACATTTATTTCTCATGGTTCTGGAGGCTGGAAATCCAAGATCAAGGTACCAGCTTGGCTGGATTCTGGTGATGGCCCTCTTCCTGGCTTGTAGGTGGCTACCTTTTTTTTTTTTTTTTTTTTTTGAGACAGAGTCTCGCTCTGTCACCCAGGCTGGAGTGCAGTGGCGTGATCTCAGCTCACTACAAGCTCCGCCTCCCGGGTTCCTGCCATTCTCCTGCCTCAGCCTCCTGAGTAGCTGGGACTACAGGTGCCCGCCACCATGCTCAGCTAATTTTTTTGTATTTTTAGTAGAGACGGGATTTCACCATGTTAGCCAGGATGGTCTCGATCTCCTAACCTCGTGATCTACCCGCCTTGGCCTCCCAAAGTGTTGGAATTATAGGCATGAGCCACCGTGCCCGGCCAGGTGGCTGCCTTCTTGCTGTGTCCTCCTGTGGACGTGGGGCTGGGGATGGGGGGAGCTGGAGCTAGCAGGGGAGCACTGGTGTCTTTTTTTTTTTTTTTTTTTTTTTTTTTTTGAGACGGTGTTTCGCTCTTGTTGCCTAGGCTGGAACGCAGTGGCACGATCTTGGCTCACCACAACCTCTGCCTCCCGGGTTCAAGCGATTCTCCTGTCTCAGCCTCCCAAGTATCTGGGATTACAGACATGCACCACATGCCTGGTTAATTTTATATTTTTAGTAGAGACAGGGTTTATTCATGTTGGTCAGGCTGGTCTCGAACTCTTGACCTCAGGTGATCCACCTGCCTTGGCCTCCCAAAGTGCTGGGATTATAGGCGTGAGCCACCATGCCCATCCTGGAGTCTCTTCTTATAAAGACCCTAATCCTGTTGTGTCAGAGCCCCACTCTTATGACCTGATTTTACCTTAATGACTTCCTTAGAGGCCCCATCTCCTAATACTGCCACATTAGGAGTCGGGACTTCATGAATTTTGCGGGGGGGATACAAACATTCATTTCATAGTAACCCTCCTTCTCCCTTCCTCTCCTTTCATGCTATTTATTTGTGGCTGAAACCATGTCCTCCAAATGTCTTACAGTCTGCATTTGGAGGTGGCTTCCTTGTGGCTAACATCTTCCTCTCTCCCTGTTTCTCCAATGCAGTAGGAGTTAGGGTTGGAGGGTGATTGGACCAGGCTGAATCTCAGGCAGGAAGCTTCATAGGCATGTACTCCCTCCGGCCCCATCTCAACAGGCAAGCATGTTTGGGTGGGTTAGGTCTTGTCAGCCTGCTCCTTCCTTGATGACATTCTGTATTAATTGTCCATCTCATAGCTCCAGCAGGCATTAGTGTCATCACCTAGACCTATCATTAGGGGCTGCACCATAGTGATTTTCTAACTTCATCTTCTCTGAGTTCATTAGCTGGAATTCTCTTCTGTGAAAAAAAGCTTTGTTATTAATCTTGGTTGCTCTTGATAATACAGGGAGACTTCATCAGTTTTCACAATGATGCATTGGTGTTCTGATATGTATAAAGATGACCAGGAAGCTTTGTTTTCCTTATTGTCATGATGACCAATCCATTGGCTTTTAGGGTGTGATGTCTCCACTGTTATATTTTTGATGATCAGGGAATCCTTTTGAGTAATCTTTGAAAGCTCCCTTCCTTTATGATACAAGTTGATCCAGCCTCTTCCTGTATATTTCCTGCCTGAGACACAAAGCCAGACAGTGTTCTAAAGAGTTTCTCTTCCCTTTATCATTAAATAATACTTAGAATGCACTCTGGGTGCTAGATGAAATTCTTTTTTTTTTTTTTTTTTTTTTTTGAGATAGGGTCTCACTTTGTCACTCAGGCTGGAGTGCAGTGGTATGATCTTGGCTCATTGTAACCTCCACCTTCCAGGCTCAAGCAATCCTCTCAACTCAAGTCTCCCAAGTAGCTGGGACCACAGGCATGTGCCATCACATCTGGCTAATTTTTGTATTTTTGGTAGAGGTGGGTTTCGCCATGTTGCCCAGGTTTGTCTCAAACACCTGAGCTCAAGTGATCCTCCCACCTCAGCCTCCCAAAGTGCTAGGATTACAGATGTGAGCCACCGTGCCCAGTTGAAATTCTTTATTAAGAGTAGAGTAATACTACTTATCATGGCTCATTTCACCTGTGTACATGATGGACTGGATCTCCAATTTCATTTTAATTCTAGGTGGGAATGATGGTTAGATGCTGCCGAACATACGAAGAAGTGTGCGAAGGTGATGTGATGTTGGCAAAGTCATCAAGCTGGACAGAGATGGATTGCATGATCTCAATGTGCAGTGTGACTGGCAGCAGAAAGGGGGCATCTACTGGTTTAGGTACATTCATGTGGAACTTATAGGTGAGCACATTCTTTGTTTAGTGCTTTTACTTTTTCTTAGAGACAGAATTCCCATAAATGAATACTGATTATAATGATTTGTTATTGAAATCTGTAGGCTATCCTCCACCAAGAAGTTCTTCTCACATCAAGATTGGTGATAAAGTGCGGGTCAAAGCCTCTGTCACTACACCAAAATACAAATGGGGATCTGTGACTCATCAGAGTGTGGGGGTTGTGAAAGGTAATATCATCTGGGTAATTAAATTCCTGATGTTAACTTTTCATTAATGCATATGTACTTAGTATTTCTTTTTGTTCAAGCACACAAAACAGAAAACAAGTGTGAAGAAAGAGATAGAGTGTTCCTTTGCTTGTCAGTGCCTTCTGCCAAAGGCCACAAAGGAACTCACCTGCAGTGAAACAATCAGATTTATTAATATTAACTCATTGCAGTACAGGAGAACACACACCTTGGGGAATGGGTGTCTCCATCAGAGGGAGTGAGCGAGGACTAATGAAGTTTATGTTGGGTATTTGGGGGAGGGGTCGAGAAAGCAGGGGTAATCCTAAAACAGGATGTCTTAATAAATTTACCTAGCAGGCAGAAAGAATGGAGCCATGCTAACGTCATGATTGGTAAGGAAGCAGTCATTCATATCACCAGGATAGGGGACTGTGTGGTTGTTTGTGGTTTGGATTAGACTCAACTTTAATCACACATGGTTAAGGAGGGGTTTTGGTTGTGCCTTGATTCATCAGTCACAGAGTGGCCTTATCTGATGTTCGTGTTCTGTAAACTTGTCCTGTCATTTGTTCTGTGAAATGGCCTAACATTGACATTAACAGGCCAGCTCCTGACTGTCAGGACTGCTTTTTCTTTCTCCTCCCCTGACCAGGCTGGAGTGCAGTGGCGCCATCTTGGCTCACTGCAACCTCCGCCCCCGGGTTTAAGCAGTTCTCCAGTCTCAGCCTCCAGAGTAGCTGGGATTACAGGTGCCCACCACCGTGCCTGGCTAATTTTTGTATTTTTCATAGAGATGGCGTTTCCCCATGTTGGCCAGGCTGGTCTCGAACTCCTTACCTATTGATCCGCCCACCTCGGCCTCCCAAAGTGTTGGGATTACAGGCGTGAGCCACCATGCCTGGCTCTTTTTCATGCTGTATAAAAATTTAGGACTGAATTTAAGAAATGGAAATGTGCTAATGATGGAAATTAGGAACTGGAAACAATTCTCAGATTATATTTAATATGATACTGTTGAGATTCCAAATCAAATCCGTGGCACACTTTGAAAGGCACACTATGTCCGTTTTAACAGTTGCATGAGAAATAAGTATGTGTATAGTTTTATAAACTCTTGATGCATAAAGAGATTATTTGTTTGTTCGTTTGAACCTTGTGGAAGCCTCTCTTTTCATCAGATCGCTTAGAAAATGGCCACAGTTGGTGGTTCCCCAGTGGTGAGAGGTTCCTAGAGCTTCTCATGTTACATAAGAACAAGTGGATTATTTAATATTTTACTTTAAACATTTTTCTTTGCTTAAGAGATTGTTAAAATATTTGCAAATCAAAACAAGACAAATTTTAAAAATAAGAATTTGGTTTCTTTGTTTTGAGTGACACGTTGCTCTTATCAAAGGATGAAAGAAGTCTTCATGTTATTAATGTGGTTTTTATTCCCTGAGATACCAAAGGTATTGTATGGAATTGTTGACTTGGTGTAATTAGAAACCAAAATGTCCTATTTTAAACCTAATGCAAAAGTAAGGAATGTAGTTTACAATGAACCTCCATGTGCTCATTACCTGGCTTTAACGATTGTCGCCTCATGGCCAAAATTATTCATGCTCCCTTCTTGTGATTATTTTGAAACCAGGCGCTGACATCATGTATTAGTTCATCCATAAGCATTTTAGTACCTATCTCTAAAAGATAGACTCTTTGTAAAAAACAAATAACTACAATGTAGTATGACATGGCTAGGTGCAGTTTTAAGTTCAGGTTTTTATTGGTGAAGAGGAAGATGGATCAGGTGATTTCTGTTGTGTCCTGGCTTTCAGTGCCAATGGAAAAGATATCATTGTTGACTTTCCCCAGCAGTCTCACTGGACTGGGTTGCTATCAGAAATGGAGTTGGTGCCCAGTATTCATCCTGGGGTTACGTGAGTTATTTTTATGATTGCTAGATTTGCTTTGGGACGAATGGTTTTCTGTTGAATTAAGTTTAATAAATGACCTTTCTTAACTCAGTTGCTATTTTACAAATAGGTGTGATGGATGTCAGATGTTTCCTATCAATGGATCCAGATTCAAATGCAGAAACTGTGATGACTTTGATTTTTGTGAAACGTGTTTCAAGACCAAAAAACACAATACCAGGCATACATTTGGCAGAATAAATGAACCAGGTATGGCAGAATGTTTATATTCTCTCTTCCACCAAATATTAATGAAATACTTATTGTGGACCACAGTGTACTGGAATTTGTTATTTTAAGGTTCCTTTGCATATGGTAATTCTGTAGAGTGAGTACAGTGAGACGGAAGTGACGGTCCTACCCGCTGATGACTGGCTGGCTTTTTAAAAAAATCAGGATGGGGTATCGGGGAAGAATTAGAATAACTAGGCTTGTTTGCTTGTTTTTCCATAAAGAAACATTAAAAGAATCTCAAGAAACTAGTAAGTGTTTAGTTGCGTGGCATGTGGAATTGGTTAGATGGAGAGTGAGTGTTTTAATTTGTATACCTTTTATTATATTTTTCATTGTGGCAAAATATATTTAACTTAAAATTAGCCACTTAGTCATTTTCTAAGTTTATAATTCAGGGTATTAAGTACCTTAAGTACAGTGTTGCACAACCATCACAACTTTCTCTTACCAAAACTTTTCACCACTCCGATCAGAAACTCTGTACCCATTAAGCAATTTAACTGCCCTACTTCCCCTTACCCCAACCCTGGTAACCTTGAATCTAACTTTGGTCTCTACGATTATGACCACTCCAGACATCTCATCTAGATGGAACCATGTAAGATTTATCCTTTTGTGTTTAGCATAATGTCTTCAAGCTTCATCCGTATTGTAGCATGTGTCAGAACGTCATCCTTTTTAATGGCTGAATAATATTCCACTGTATGCATATATCACTTTTCTTCTTTGTGAGATAGAGTCTCACTCTGTTGCCCAGGCTGGAGTGCAGTGGCGCAATCTTGGCTCACTGCAACCTCCGCCTCCTGGGTTCAAGCAGTTCTCCTGTCTCAGCCTGCTGAGCAGCTGGGATTACAGGCCGGTGCCACCATGCTCAGCTAACTTTTCTACTTTTTTTTTTTAATTATTATTTTTTTGAGACAGAGTCTCACTCTGTCTATAAGGAGTGTATGTGTTATATACATTTTTAGTTTTAGTAGTTACTGAAGATATTAATTATAACATCTATTTTTGACTGATTTAAATCTATTATTATTTAGTAAAGTCTCCTCCTAAACAATGCAAAGACCTTAGTTCTCTTTAACATCATTTATCTTCATTCTGATTTATATGTTCTTAACATATTTTAATTTTTAATTTTTTTTTTTTTTGAGACGGAGTCTCACTCTGTCGCCCCGGCTGGAGTGCAGTGGCGCGATCCTGGCTCACTGCAACTGACACCTCCCGGGCTCAAGCGATTCTCCTGCATCAGCCTCCTGAGTAGCTGGGATTATAGGCTCCTGCCACCACGCCTGGCTAATTTTTGTATTTTTAGTGGAGGTGAGATTTCACCATGCTGGCCAGGCTGCTCTTGAACTCCTGACCTCAGGCGATCCACCCACCTCAGTCTCCCAAAGTGCTGGGGTTATGTGCATGAGCCACCACGTCCAGCCAAAATTTTATACATTTTATACAAATATATATCTAACAGAACTATCGAAGACATTCTTTTATGCACATAGAAAATGTTCATAAAATCCAGTCATATGCTAAGTGGGTCATATGCTCAAACAAAATTTCAAAAAAAGTCAAAGGATCAGCCAGGCGCAGTGACTCATGCCTGTTTTTGTTTTTGTTTTTGTTTTTGTTTTTTGAGACAGAGTCTCGCTCTGTCACCCAGGCTGGAGTGCAGTGGCGCGTGATCTCAGCTCACTGCAAGCTCCGCCTCCTGGGTTCTCGCCATTCCTCCCGCCTCAGCCTCCCGAGTAGCTGGGACTACAGACGCATGCCACCATGCCAAGCTAATTTTTCGTATTTTTAATAGAGATGGGGCTTCACCGTGTTAGCCAAGATGGTCTCGATCTCCTGACCTCATGATCCATGCCTGTAATCCCAGCACTTTGGGAGGCCGAGGCGGGTGAATCAGGAGTTCAGGAGATCGAGACCATCCTGGCTAACGCGGTGAAACCCTGTCTCTACTAAAAGTACAAAAAATTAGCCGGTGTGTTGGCGGGCACCTGTAGTCCCAACTACTTGGGAGGCTGAGGCGGGAGAATGGCGTGAACCCAGGAGGCGGAGCTTGCAGTGAGCCGAGATCGTGCCACTGCACTCCAGCCTGGGCGACAGAACAAGACTACGTCTCAAAAAACAAAAAAAGCAAAAAAACAAGTCAAAGGATCAAACAATACATGCAGGGCATATGACGATTTTATGTAGTCAATATTGATTTAGATTTTTCTGCATACTTTGTAATTTCTCTCCACTTTTTTCTTCTTCTTTAATTTTCCATCTATACTGTTTTTCTCCTGCCTGAAAATCCCCTTAATATTTTTAAAAATGTGTCTTTGTTGGTTACAAATTATCTATTTTTGTATGTCTGAAAATGTCTTTATTTCTCCTTTATTTTTGAAAAGTCTTTTTGCTAGGTGTTTTCTTTCAGCACTTTAAAAATAGTATTCCATTGCAATTTGGTTTATATTATTTCTCCTGAAGTTGGATGGAAGTCTAATTGTGGTTCATTTTATTTTTCCTTCGTCTGCTTTTCAGAGAGTCTTTTTGTTTTCATCTTGCACAGGTTTTACATGTGCATGGAGATGTTTATCTTTCTTGGGGTTGGTAGGGCTTCTGGGGCATGATATCTGTTGTCTGTTTTGGAAAATTCTGTCTTTCAGTATTTCTTCACATTTTGCCTCTGCTCTATTCTCTTTTCTATCTTTTTGGGGGGACTCTTCTTTCACTTGTGTTAGGCCTAACCTCTGTCCTGCAGATCTTTTACCTTCTTGTTATGTTTTCTAAACTTTTGCTCCTCAGTTCTTCATTCCAGATATTTTTACTTTCTCTTCAGCTGAGTTCAGTGTGTTCTAAACTTACTCATTAAGTTCTTAATTTTAAATATTGGATTTATCAGTTCTAGTCTTTCTATTTTATTTTCAGTAGTTTTTGGTTCTCTGCTGAAATATTATCTTTTTGAACACAGTAAGCATATTTATTATACTAAAGTCTGTGTCTTCTAACTCCAATATATGGAGCCCTTGTGGGTCTGTTTCTCTCCTATCATTTCTGGTCATTTTTAGTCGCTTTTTTTGCCTCTTCATGTGTCATTATGTACTGGACACCTAACAAATAAAGAGAAACACTATGTTCATGGGTTAGAAGACTGAATACTGTGAATCCATCCTTGCACATTGACTTACAGAATTAATGCAATCCACATCAAAATCCCAAGCAAGCGGTTTTATAAAAACTGACAAGCTCATTTTAAGTCATATGGAAATGTAAAGGGCCTGCAACAGCCAAAATATATTTGAAAAAGAACAAAGCTAAAAAACTGTTGCAACCTGAGTTCAGGCCTTTTATAAAGCTGTAGTAATCAAGACAATGTGGCATTGCCACCAAAATACACAAATAAATCAATGAAACAGTACTGGGAGTCCAGAAATAGATCCATACATCCATAGACAACTGATTTCTGACAAAGGCAAAAGGCAATTCAGTAGGAAAAGCGTAGTTTTTCAACAAATACAACTGAAACAACTGGACAATCATGCCCAAAAAAGCCTTTCAATCTGAACCTCCCACTATATATAAAATTTAATCAACTGGTCATAGATATACCTGTCTAAAACTATAAAACTTCTATAACAGAACATAGAAAGACAAACTTCATAATCTTGAGGCAAAGGTTTTGTAGTCACAACATCAAAAGTACACTCTACAAAAGAATAAAATGAATAAACTAGGCTTCATCAAAATTAAAAACTTCTAATCTTTAAGATTCACCTGTGAAGAGAATAAAATGACAAGCCACACTGACAGAAAATACTAGCAAATTCTATATTAGGCAAAGGACTTGTAACTCAGAATATATAAGGAACTCTCAAACCAGTAAGAAAACAACCTATTTAAATATGGGAAAAGACTTGAACAGACATTCACCAAAAAAGGTATGTGATTTGTAAATAAGCAAGATGCTTGAGATCATTAGTTATTAGGGAAATGCAGATTAAAACCACAACGAGATACCACTATACATCTGTCAGTATAACTAAAATTAAAGACTGAACGTATCAAGGGTTGACAAAAATGTGGAGGATGTGGACCTCTGGAACATCCACTTTGCAAAACAGTATGTAGCGATCTTAAGAAGCTAGACATACACGTACCATATGATCCAACCACTCCTCTCTTAGAAGTTTACCCAAGAGAATTTCAAGTGGATGTCCATACACAAACTTGTATGGAAATGTCCATTAGCAATTTCACTTGCATAGTCAAAAACTGGAAACAGCCCAAACATTCATCAACAGAAAAATGGATGAACAAATTGCATTTGTTTATCTTAAGATACTATTCAACAATTTAAAAGAATAAACTATTGATACATGCAACGTAAGTGAATCTCAAAATTATTATGCTGAGTGGAAAAAGTAAGATTTTTAAAAAGAGTATATGCTGTATGATTCTACTTATAGTAAGCTGTAAAACATGCAAACTGGCCTGCCACAGTGGCTCCTGCCCGTAATCCCAGCACTTTGGGAGGCTGAGGTGGGAGGATCACTTGAGCTCAGGAGTTCAAGACCAACCTGAGCAACATGGCAAAACCATGTCTCCACCAAACAAACAAAAATTAGCCAGGCATGGTGACATGTGCCTGTAGTCCCAGCTATTTGGGAGGCTAAGGTGGGAGGATCACTTGAGCCCAGGAGGTGGAAGCTGCAGTGAGCCAAGATCATGCCACTGCACTCCAGCCTGGGCAACAGAGTGAGACCCTGTCTACAAAAAAAAGAAAACAAACAAATAAAACACCCACAAAACAACAACAACAAAAAGCAGACATGCAAACTGATCTCTAGTGACAGAATTGGTGCATACGGCAGGAAGGAGGGAGGTAAAAGCAAAAGGGAGGGGTACAGAGGGCCAGAGAGAAACGCTGGGGTAGTGTATGAGTTCATTATCTTTGATTGTGCTGATGCTTTCATGGATCATACATATTCCAAAGTCAATCAAAATGCATACTTTAAATAGGTGCAGTTTATTATATGTCAATTATAACTGAATAAAGCTGTTAAAAAATACAAAAGAGCCCAGTACAGTGCCTGTAGCTCTCAGGCAGTTATTAGGAGTCCTGTTCACACACAAGTACAGCGCTGTGAGTTTACCTGATCATAAACACAAGAATCAGCAACATACTTTCTTCTAAAACTTTCATTCCAGCAGCATAAATCGCATGAGCGCACACCATAATTCTTCTGTGTCTTTAGATTCATAATGTAGTTAACGCAGCACTACAACCTCTAATGTGTTGGCACAATTAAATAAATGTAAAGTTGCTGTAACCTACAGAAAAATCTCAGGATACAAATCTGTGTTACCTAAATAGGAAGCACCTAAAGGGTCTCTTGCAGTCTGGAAGAGGACGGGCTCGTGGACAGAGGGCGTGGCCACATCCACAGTTGTCCACGCCACACTGTGGGATGACCCGCAAGCCACACACATGATCTTCTGGCCTTCTAAGCCTTGCATGAGTGTGGGCTTCCTGTTAACCGTGGTCGTGCCATTGCCCTGCTGGCCGTGGTCGTTGTCACCCCAAGCATACACCTGTTTACGAGGAGAAAAAAGCTTATAATTTTTCAACATTTCAGGACATTTTCTTTAATGTAATTTTTACTTCAAAATGCTTAACGTGTATGCCATGGTATTTGAAAGAATTGAGTTCTTAAAAGTAAAAGCAAACCATTTCACAATCTTACAAAATGGCATCGGTGTACTATAATTCTGAAGAAAATCTAACCATGAAAATGCCAATAACCATAAAAGGAGTATTTTCTTAATATTAATCAAATTAATTCTGCTTTGTTGCAAGTCACACAGAAGGTCCTCTCTTCAACTAAGTGCAATAATTTTTTCCCTTTTACTTTGCAAAGAAAAATGACCAAAAACAATATGCTCATTTTTCAAGTAAGTAGCTCCTTGGCCTTATAGAATTATAAAGTATAATTCATTTTGACTAAAAAACAGTAATGGTAATTTTGTTTTCATAAATAAAATTTTAAATTGAATATCCACAAGCCGGTCATAGCATATGCTTCTCCAAGCAGAAGAGAGTGTAACACTTGTCAGGCACTAGCTCTGTCTCTAAAATGAGGCATGGGTGCCTCCTCACCAGTTAGCAATTTCCTAAAGCAAAGTCTTGTTAATACCTTGCAGTAGGAGCATCTTCAAGAATAACAATCTTTTGGCCGGGTGCGGTGGCTCACGCCTGTAATCCCAGCACTTTGGGAGGCCGAGGCAGGTGGATCACGAGGTCAGGAGATCGAGACCACGGTGAAACCCCGTCTCTACTAAAAATACAAAAAATTAGCTGGGCGTGGTGGCGGGCGCCTGTAGTCCCAGCTACTCGGGAGGCTGAGGCAGGAGAATGGCATGAACCCAGGAGGCAGAACTTGCAGTGAGCCGAGATCGCGCCACTGCACTCCAGCCTGGGCGACAGAGCGAGACTCTGTCTCAAAAAAAAAAAAAAAAAAAAAAAAAGGGATAACAATCTTTCCACACACTTTTCACGTGGACTTCAGAGTGGGAACGCCTCTTTTCTGAGGACCCCGCCCCCAACCCCTGCTGCTGAGTAGGCAGATACACCAGCGGGCAAAACGGATGGGTCCCGGCCTCATGGTTCTTCAAGCAGTAAGACTCGGCTGAGTTCATCAACAGCTGTGATTTCAACAGGACGAGGGCCATGTCGTGACCCCCACGTCCCCCAAGTCAGGATGGCACGCCACCCCCAGGCCACCTGCAGCCTTACCTGCCCCGAGTCCGTGACCGCCAGGCAGTGCAGGGCCCCGACAGCCACATGCACGATCTTCTTCCCTCTCAGCCCTTCCACCACCTACAGTTTCCACACGTGCACGTCAGAGCCCTGGCGCAACCTGAAGTAATCCCCCTTTCCCCTGAGAAGGAGGCCCGTGGTGGAGTGTTACAATATAGTTGTGGTCTGACAATGCTATACAAGAAGACACTCATTGTCTCACATCTTTCACAGCCAGCTCAATGACATCACACACAGCACCCAAGGTCTTCGAACTTGTATTCAAAATCATACACCATTAATTCAAATTAACTTATTAAGTCAGCTGGGAAAAACCTTAATACCTTAATACATGTTCTACAATATTTAAGTTACTGTTGTAGGTTTTCATATAGACTGAAAATAAGACACATTACTGCAAACACCTATCCAAAGTCCTATCTGGTATACATCTTTCTCAGAGTGCCAATGTCGGCCAGTAGCAGTGGTTCACGCCTGTAATCCCAGCACTTTGGGAGGCCGAGGCGGGTGGATCACAAGGTCAGGAGATCGAGACCATCCTGGCTAACATGGTGAAACCCTATCTCTACTAAAAACACAAAAAAATTAGCCGGGCATGGTGGCAGACGCCTGTAGTCCCAGCTACTCGGGAGGCTGAGGCAGGAGAATGGCGTGAACCCGGGAGACGGAGCTTGCAGTGAGCTGAGATTGTGCCACTGCATTCCAGCCTGGGCGACAGAGCGAGACTCCATCTCAAATAAATAAATAAATAAATAAATAAATAAATAAATAAATAGTGCCAATGTTATGACCAGAGGCAGCAAGGCCTGACACAGCATCCAAGGCCAGTCTGGGCACCTGCTCATTTGCACATTAATATAATAAGCTTTTACAAGAAATACATGTTAACTTTCTCAGGATCAAAGGATTCAGAAGGCTATTTTGCTCTCATTTTATCCTTAGGCTTCAGCAGAAGAAACACTTCCTATAAATCTCGCCCAAACAGGAAAGGTAAGTGGCCTAAAATTTTTCTAGTATTTTCAAAATGACCCAGTTACAATAGGAAATTTCTTCTTGTACTATTGTCACTAATCCCGACTCAATATCCTTTAAAGGACAAAGATGCATGCATAAGTAAAAATATGACAGGTCACAATCACGCCGGGGTGGTCCTGGGGCGAGGCCCAAGTTCCCTGCACGCGTCGGCACAAGCACGCACACTGTGACGGGGAGGACGTTTACGTACCATGTCCACACCACTCCAGACTTGGTGAGCGCCAGTAGGAACTGAGCTCCACACTCAATCTGGCACACCCCCTGTCCATTTAGTCTCTCAATGTTCTGGGGAATGTTGCAGCCTTCACTTCCGCCCCGGCCCAATTTTCCAAAGTCACCATCACCCCAGGAAAATACCAAACCTAGGTTTAAAAATAGGGAAGGGAAGGGAAGGGAAGGGAGAGAAGAAAGGAAAGATAAAGAAAGCCCAACCTCCTTCCAAAATGTCATGAGAATCTTGAGCACATATGGTCCTTGGCATGACCACATGACCTGCAGAGCCCCTGTTATAGAACTCATTTTTATATTTTCCTTAGTATAACAGTTAATATAATATGTCATTTTTGTTAATAGTGTCTTTTTGTCATTTTACTTTTTAAAAGATTTTATTGAAATATACATACAGGAAAGTGCATCTATCATAAGTGTGCAAATTGATGAATTCTAAAATCTTTATTGTACCTGTTTAGCACATAGATTGACACTGAACATAACTAACAACCAGAAATCTCCGTGTACTCCCTTCCTGTAACTACCCCTGCGCCCGACCAAATCACTCTCTTCTAACAGCATAACTTTGTGTGACTAGCTTTTTTAATGTAAAAGAATGAAATCTACAGCATGTATTCATTTGCATCTGGCTTCTGCCACCCAACATTATATTTGTGGGATTCATTTGTACAGTTGCATATTAGTTTGCAGATCCCTCACTCTCATTTCTATATGGTATTATATTGCATAAACGTACCACACTTTATCCAACTACTGTTAAATATTTGTGCATTTTCTACTTGGGGGTGATTTCAAATAGTGCTGCTATGAACATTCTTGTAAATGTCTTTTGGTGAACATATGCAACACATATATGCGTTGTTGTTGGTTCCCAGGAGGGGCATTCCTGGGTCATAAACAATGCGTGTGTTCAGGTTTAGTACAGTATAATGCCAAACAGGTTTCCAAAGTGTTTGTGCCACTTTACATACCTGCCATTATTGAAAAAGAGTTCTGTTTGCTCCACATTGTCACCAATACTTGATATTTTCTGTTTTTTTTTTCTTTTAAACCGTACTAGTGGGTGTGCAGTGATATTGCAATGTGGTTTTAATTTGCATCTTCCTTGTGACAACCTTGATTACTGTAAGCCACTTGGAAATGTGATTTAAATTCATATAAAGATATAGTAGCAAAACGCATACTAGGTTACTTTCGTATCCAGAAAGTTTAGATAGAATGATTTCTATGTAAGCTTTTACTGTGTAGTCTGAGTCCATGAATATTGATTACAAAAAACACATCTGTAGGTGAGTTACAATACCTCACTTATAATTCCAAATTCATGTTGTGTTAGCTCAATATTTTTCAAATAATTTTTGCATGCAATTTTCACCTTCTTTCTGAGTAGTTTCAGGTATTTTGTATGGTTCCAGCAGTCAGTTAGGTTGCCATTGTTTGGAAGCACACATCCACGTATCTGCACCATGATGATATGACACACCCATACCCCCCATTTCACATTTTGTCAGAAGTGCATAGTTATCACTAACTTTGCCAGTAGAAATGTACTCCCAATTTCCCACGGACTTATCTTGAATAATCTCTCCACTGAAGCATAACAGGTTTTGAATTCTGTTAGAATAGTTGTTTTTACTATCTTTTAATTTTATACAAATTTCAAAGTTACGTAATACTTTTATTTAAAAAGTGAAACAAAGCTTTTCCTCTCCCTTACCCACATGTTAGTCCAGCAGAGGGGGAAAGCATTGGACCCAGGCCAAAATCATAAACGCTTTCAATTAACTAATAATAATTGCTGGCATGTTGCCATTAAATATTCTTGTCTCATTATCTCTGGTTGCTTTATCAAACCCATAGGTCACTGAAGCCCACTTTTGAGACAAAGACTATTTCTCCCCCAAAAGTCAAGGGAAATATAAAAAATGAAATTAGTGATTAAGAATAGAAGTCAATTAATACAATCATTTTGTCTTAATTATTTAAAGTCCAGTTTTTTCCCTCCAGCAAACCTGAAAATACACTATCCTCCAGCTATCAGAATTATATTGAGATCTACTCACATTTATGATGATGTTCAGAGATTCTCATTGGGAAGGAAAAGGCACACGCTGCGGCGGTCTTGCATGACTCTGTTGTTGTGGAAATTCAATTTGTTCATTGTGTTTTGGGCTCTCTGGGTGGTCAGGGCTGGGCTCTGGGTCCTTGGCAATTCCTCAGGTTCCCAGCACTCCAAAGCCAAGCTCACCTCCTCATCACACACCCTGCAGGAGAAGCATTAGGGTGTCCGACTACGTGGGTTTCATAGCTGTGGAAAAGCCAAAGGGGAGACTCCTGAAGAAAGGCGGTGAAGACTGTGAAGAGCGGGTCAGGAAGATGAGCACAGCACTGCTACTCCTGTGGGCACAGGGACAGCATGTCTCCAGCCAGCGCCACCTTGTTTAATACATGGGAACTCACTGAAATTCATTCTGTATTTTGCCCGCAAAGTTTTAAAGATTTCATCCACAGTCAGGAATTAAACTTATACCAATGAGAGCCTCACACATTCAAGGATGTACTAAGCACTACAGGCCTCACAGAAACAGAGATCCCATCTTGGAGTTTTCAGTACCACATGGGAGATAAAGGGTTTTGAACATGAAATGACAAAAACAACAGCAAGAAGAAAATTCTTGTCCTTTTTCATTACTATCAGACTCAAATAAATGTCTTGGCTCTTACATTACATTCATTCTTCAACCATTGTGGTCTGGCTTCCACTTCCTTCACTTCACCAACATGGCTCTGCCAAAGGAAGCCCGTGATCTCTAGGCCATCACTTTAATTGATCTCTCTACAACATTTATCCTGGTTGTTAAGCCCTCCTTACAACATTCTTCTCTCTTTGTTTTTATAGCTCCATCTCTCCTGCTTCTTTAACTTGATAATGCATACTTGATTTTTCTATTTGTTATTTCATAAACCAATTAATACACAGATAAAATGACTGTATATCAAACCATGTTTGTATAGAAAAAATGGATTTTGGATGCCTCTCATATGTAATTAGTTCTATTAAACATATTAATTGTATTGTTTAATTTGTCAGGTTTTTGACAGAATTTTGTTTACAAGTAATAAAAATTTTATCTCCAATTTTCAATAATTACACCCATTATTTCTGTTTTATGTCTCATTGCATTGATGAGATCTTGCAGAATAATTTTAAAACAGTAGTGGGTATTTTCTGCTTTTAATGGGTATGTCTAGTATTTCATATATTGTTGCTTATAGAACACTATTCAACCAAGACATGTCAAGACTAGTTGTCTCTCAAACCATTAGTATTTATATTATTCCTTTCCAGCTACACTTGTAGGATGTAAAAGACCATTTCCAGGAATATGGAACTGTTTTACTAGGTGGAGGGTATATATAACCATATAATAGTCACAGAAACTACATTAATACTCACATAAATCAAAGCATAAATGACATAGAATCTTGGCAGATTTGCTTAAGGTTAAATGTATAACTCTTATCAGCAGGAGGTGAAAGAATATATTCTTAGATACTTGGCACATTTAGAAAATATAATCTAATATTCTTTTTAAAGAATAGGCCGGGCACGGTGGCTCACACCTGTAATCCCAGCACTTTGGGAGGCCAAGGCGGGCGGATCACGAGGTCAGGAGATCGAGACCATCCTGGCTAACACGGTGAAACCCCGTCTCTACCAAAAATACAAAAAATTAGCTGGGCGTGGTGGCGGGCGCCTGTAGTCCCAGCTACTCAGGAGGCTGAGGCAGGAGAACGGCGTGAACCCGGGAGGTGGAGCTTGCAGTGAGCCGAGATCGCGCCACTGCACTCCAGCCTGGGCGAAAGAGCGAGACTCTGTCTCAAAAAAAAAAAAAAAAAAAGAATAAATAAAACATCATCTACAAGGGAATTACTTGAAATTAAAACAAATGGTAGTCATATATATGGTACTTCATTATTAGGAAGGTGGCTAAAAGCCCATTTAGACATATTCTGCTTTTCTTAAGGAATAATGATCGTTTCATGTTAGGTTATAGCCAGCACAGCACCTCGTGGGGTCATCAGAGGCCTGTGCTATCATTCTCACTAGGAGGGATGGTTAACCCATGTGTTCTAGGACCACAAACTATGCCCCAATCTACTCATCCATCTAGAAAAAAAGGCATGCTTTTAGTTCAACAATTCCAAAGCATCAGTTGGAGGACCAGTGTTGGCTGCATCAGAATCACCTGGGTGTTTGTAATAAATACAGAATCCTGAGCAGGTATTCTGGCATTTCTGTTCATACAGAATCTCCAGGGTCAGGGCCAAGTATGTCTGATGTGTAGCAACAGACGGAAACCATCACTTTAGTTAGCAGAAGGAAGGCACTGAGCAGAGGGTTGAATATAATACATTGGAAAAATATCTTAAAGAATTGGGAAAAAGTAATATATGTGAATATCACATCATCATTATAATAGGAAAAAACAAGGTCCTCAACATTGTCAAAGGTATAAATTCCTAAAACAGGTCAAATTCGTGTTCTCAAAACATTTTCCTGAAAAATGTTACTAGGTGGTATAGGGATAAATAGGTTTGCAAAGTACTGTACCCTCTATATATCTTGTCTCAGAAATTCAGAAAGTGTTAAAGACTCTGAGAAGTCCTGCAGGCAACTTCTTATATTTAATGCAGTATATCTCAAACTCACTTGAGCACACAATACTTTTTTCCCCCGAGGCATATCTATTAAGGTCCTATAGAACAATATTCTTAGGCATACCATTTAGAGATACAATTCTAAAATGATTTTATCAAATATTATATTTCATGGCAAAGTTTTTCCCTATATATTGACATATTCCAACACTTAGTCTTCTTTTTTGCAATATAAATCTTTTCAAGAGGAAATTATAAGCATTGATTAAATGCATCTTAAATTCAAAACCTTAAATAATATTCATCCCAGTATAATTCTTCTTATTGAAATCTATACTTCAAATTGAGTTAGTCCTATAATTTTTCACTTCTAATTAAACCAATTAAAGCGGGGTATGTCTACTGACCTACTTTCCAGAATTTAAAAAATAAACTAGGAAAAAACATCTTCTGAGCTCTGGGATGTTTCCAGAGCTTCATTAAAATAACTTGAAATTTTCATTTGGGTACAGTTTTTGCTTATTTTATGGTTCAAATATGCAGCACAAAAGATGACTGGAAGAGGATTATTGAAGCAAATTTAATAAAAGCAGAGTCTATATGAGGCAGTGCTGCTTCATTGCTGCTTTTTCTGCTTTGAGGATGGCAAACTAGAAAAGCCCTTAGATTAAGTTTTTACTTTACCTAAGACAGCATTAAAGCTGATTAAAAGGTTCCACTGAAATGGCAAAATGGCCATATCTCTAATAAGCGCCAGTATAAAACTTAATCTTAAATTGGGCAGTCCTGGGGAAAAGAATTAGATTTAATTTATACCAATTTGAATTATAGAAGTCAGACTCATAGCAGCCGTTGGCTACTTATTCTGTGTGCTAAACTAAATCTCAACTCAGTCCCAGGAGGACACATTTCCTACTACAGGGCAACCCTTTTCTGCCCAGTGATCTTAGGTTCGATTATCTATGAAGGGTAGACCATGTGGTAGTAACATATTTTCCAGGGAACAAAACAAATCAGTTTTAATAGTGATCAAACCCCACCCAGCCTCTTTATGTATTAATACCCAACTTACAAAACCGTATGTTAAGCTGTACAATTCCTCCACTGGAAATTTAAGCGCACATTATTATGAGTTCCTTATTTCCTGATAAGTCCCAATGGTTACAAAATTACTCAGTTTCTTTGAAGAATCAGGAAGCCACCACCCATGGGCACTCAATACTGATTGTCATTTTTAACAAATTGTGGGAAATAAGCTTTAAAACTGGGTCACTACCCCTAAAAGTATGCAGTTTAGTTATAATATATCAATACTGATTTGTTAGTTATGACAAATATACCATAATCATGTAAGATGTTAGCAACAAGGGAAACTGGGTGCCTGTGTGGTACACAGAAACTCTCTATACCACCTTTGCAACTGTTTTCTAAATATAAAACTATGCTAATATTTTTTTAAATTTAAAAATTAAAAGTAGGTCACCAGAAATTTCCTACCCACATAATATAGTCTCATTTTGAATGTAGGCAAAGGAGGATTCTCAATTCTAGGACTGTCTCTCTAAAAAAGTAAAAAGCTGGTAATTTGATAAGATTACTGCAAGAGAAGCATGACTAAGTAGGCATATATCAACAGTCAATATGGTACCTTTATTACCTAACAAAAACAAGGCAAAAATTTATCTTGGAAAACTGGATTGCAGAGAACCCTATCTTCTAATTTAATCATCACACACTTATATAGCTCATGTTACACACACAGTACGGTAATATTTATTTGCTGAAAAGCAGAATACAAAAGCATTAGATACTCCCCATCCACCTATGAGTTCACCATCTAGTTAAGTACACGTCACTGCCAAGAAGCTTAAAATGATAGTATTGTCCCTGATTTCTAAGAGCACACATACGCTGACGGGCAACTCTCATGCCAACCTCAAAGGAAGGTAGAATGGATAACAGCATTAAGTCTACAAATACTGTGCTGTGAACACTGTAGCTAAGACCATTCTGGAATAAACAGTGTATCATCTTTAATGTATAGTATCCTATCCCAAAAGTGATATCAAAATGTCTTTAGTAAAATGAGTTCTGTTCTTCTTCATTCTTTCATTCAGCACCTACTGTCTGCCAAGTGTTGCTGTATATGCTGAGCACACTAACAGCACTAACAAAAATACCCTGCTCTAATAGAAACAGACAATAAGCATATGACGTAGATGGTGTTATGTACTATGAAGAGAAATAAGCCCAGAGCAGATGAGAGTTGATGGAGTTGTGTCTTAATTTGCCTTATTTTACATATATTTAACGTATTAAAATCGTGCTGACATCCTATGTGGAAAGGTTTACTGAAAATTTGAGAGACAGAGAATGGCTGATCTGTAGAACATGGGTACTGTCTAAAAGAACCTTCACTGATTCTTTCAAACTTTTCCAGAGATAAACTTAGACTCATTTTGAAAGTTGCTTTATTACCAAAAAATTGCCACTCCATGAAAAGTTCAGCACTTGATGCCAATAGATGTGACAACAAAAAAGCAACTTCGGCATCACATATATGGTCAGGAAAACCATCAGAAACTAAGAGATTTTTTTTTTTTTTTTTGGTGATGGAGTCTTGCTCTGTCACCCAGGCTGGAGTATAGTGTTGCAATCTGGGCTCACTGCAACCTCCGCCTCCCCGGTTCGAGTGATTATCCTGCCTCAGCCTACCGAGTAGCTGGGATTACAGGCATGCACCACCACACCCCAAAATGAGGTTTCACCATGTTGGCCAGGCTGGTCTCAAACTCCTGACCTCAGGTGATCCACCCACCTCTGTTGCAGGAAGTCAGGGACCCCAAACGGAGGGACCAGCTGAAGCCATGGCAGAAGAACATAAATTGTGAAGATTTCATGGAGATTTATTAGTTCCCCAAATTAATACTTTTATAATTTCTTACGCCTGTCTTTACTGCAGTCTCTGAACATAAATTGTGAAGATTTCATGGACACTTATCACTTCCCCAATCAATACCCTTGTGATTTCCTATGCCTGTCTTTAATCTCTTAATCCCGTCATCTTCATAAGCTGAGGAGGATGTATGTCGCCTCAGGACTCTGTGATGATTGCGTTAACTGCACAAATTGTTTGTAGAACATGTGTGTTTGAACAATATGAAATCTGGGCACCTTGAAAAAACAACAGGATAACAGCAATGTTCAGGGAACAAGAGAGATAATCTTAAACTCTGACTGCCGGTGAGCCGGGCGGAACAGAGCCATATTTCTCTTCTTTGAAAAGCAAATGGGAGAAATATCGTTGAGTTCTTTTTCTCAGCAAGGAACATCCCTGAGAAAGAGAATGTATCCCTGAGGGGAGGCCTCTGAAATGGCCACTTTGGGGACGGCTGTCTTTTACAGTCACAGCAGAGGGATGAAATAAGCCCCGGTCTCCCATAGCGCTCCCAGTCTTATTAGGACGAGGAAATTCCTGCCTAATAAATTTTGGTCAGACCAGTTGTCTGCTCTCAAACCCTGTTTCCTGATAAGATGTTATCAATGACAATGCGTGTCTGAAACTTCATTAGCAATTTTAATTTTGCCCCGGTCCTGTGGTCCTGTGATCTCGCCCTGCCTCCACTTGCCTTGTGATATTCTATTACCTTGTGAAGCATGTGATCTCTGTGACCCACACCCTATTCGTACACTCCCTCCCCTTTTGAAAATTGCTAATAAAAACTTGCTGGTTTTACGGCTCAGGGGGCATCACGGAACCTGCCAACATGTGATGTCTCCTCCGGACACCCAGCTTTAAAATTTCTCTTTTGTACTCTGTTCCTTTATTTCTCAGACCGGCCAACACTTAGGGAAAATAGAAAAGAAACTATGTGAAATATCGGGGGTGAATTTTGCCCGATACACCTCAGCCTCCCAAAGTGCCAGGATTACAGGTGTGAGCCTTCGTGCCTGGCCGATAACTCCTTTGAAACAACATAAATATGGAAATGAACTACTCACATATGTTATTATATTGCCCATATCCTTCTGCAGCTTGCCTTTTTCACCCAAAGTTTTCTTCATGAGATTTACCCATGTTAATTCTTTTCAATCTAGTATGTTCATGTTTAATTGCTGTATAATATTCCACCACATGGATATGAGTTTATCCAATCTCTTGTTGGTTAACTTACATTCTGCATCATCTTATGTTACTGCAAATACTACCGTGATAAACAGGTTTTCCAAATTTCTTTGTACACATGTGTTTTTTTGCTCAGGTATGTGCATCTTCAACTTCATTAGAGATTATAAAATTGCACTCCACTTTACCTAGCTGAGTTTCCACTGGCCCATATCTCTGCCAGCAATTCTGTCAGACTTACATTTTCGCCAATCTGAAGATGACAGAATAGTCATTTTAACTTTCAATTTATCCATGAGTTTCTAGTTCAAGTATCTTTTCCCATGTTTACTGACCATTCCAGTTTCTTCCTCTATAAAGTAACTCTTCACATCCTATGCCCATTTTGTCTTAAGTTTTTCTTTTCATTATTAGGCTATTTTTCATATCCTGGATACTAACCATTACAAAAAGTTTCCCTACAACAAGATCACAAAGACAGGTAAATTTTCTTTGAAATTTTTTCTAGTTTTTCTTTTCATATTTTAGTCTTATAATGTCAGAAAAAAAGACCTAACACTCAAATGTCAAAAAAAAACCTAACTGAATAAAAAAGTGGTACATCCACACTACAAAGTACTAATTTTAAAAAAGATGAAGAACATTTCTATAAACAGATATGAAGTGATCTCTAAGAGAAGTTTAAAAAGGTGCAAAATGGGCCGGATGCAGTGGCTCACACCTGTAATTCCCAGCACTTTGAAAACACTCTGGGAGGCTGAGGCAGGTGGATCGCCTGAGCCCGATATCAGCCTGGGCAGCATGGCAAAACCCAGTCACTACCAAAAATACAAAAAAAATAGCCGGGTGTGGTGGCACACACCTGTGGTTCCAGCTACCCTGGAGGCTGGGGTGGGAAGACAGCTTGAGTCTAGGAGGCAGAGGTTTCATTGAGCCAAGATCACACCACTGTACTCCAGCCTCAGTGACAGAGTGAGACCCCACCCCAGGTCAAAAAACAAAGTGCACAATGGTATATGCTATCTTTTATCTAAGGGAGGGAGAAAATATTCCTGCCTCAGCCTCCCGAGTGGCTGGGATTGCAGGCTGAGCCACCATGCCCGGCTAATTTATTTATTTAATTTTTTTGGTGGAGATGGGGCTTCATGTTCGTGGGGCTGGTCTCAAACTCCCGACCTCAGGTTATCTGCCTGCCTCGTCCTCTCAGGGTGCTGGGATGGGAACAGGAATTAAAAGAAATTAAAAAATGTGTAAACAAAAACTCAGTTGTATGTAAAACCAATTCCCCCTGAGAAAGAGAAGAGCTAGAGTCCTTCAAAAAAAACTACTACCTCCTGTTTTTCTATGGCAGTGAGCCTTATCTCTCCTCCCTTCCCGGGCATTATAAAAACCCTAATTCCCTAACTGTACAACTGCAAGGTCACTAAACAAACTCAAGTTACAAAACATATTTTTCCTAAAAAAGGAAAAAATAATATAATGCATGATTCAATTGAACAATTATCTTTGTTTCTCACTTCTATCATATGCTTCACCCTGCACAGATCTACCCCCACCCCATAAAATGCTTAAAAGGTAAGTCTTGTTCAGAACTCAGTGCTTTAAATGTTAATCCGACTGGGCCAATGCACGTAAATAATTAATTAATAACCTCCTAAACCCCATCAGTCTCTCTAATTCCTTAAAAATCCTGCTTCAGGATTGTAAGCATGAGCCACCGGGGTGCTGGGATTGCAGGTGTGAGCCACCGCACCCAGCCCAATTTCTTAATCAGAAAAGAATAGATCGGCCTGGTGTGGTGGCTCACGCTTGTGATCCCAAGAATTTGGACAGCCGAGCGTGTTGGATCCCTTGAGCCTAGGAGTTCCAGACCAGCCTGGGCAACATGGTGAAACCGGGTCACTTTTTTTGTTTGTTTTTTGTTTTTGTTTTTTTTTGAGGCGGAGTTCCGCTCTTGTTGCCCAGGCTGGAGTGCAGTGGTGTGGACTCAGCTCGCCGGGCCTCTGCCTCCCCGGTTTGGGTGGTTCTCCTGCCACAGCCTCCCTAGTGGCTGGGATTGCAGGCGTGAGCCATCATGCTCGGCTCTTTTTTTTTTTTTTTTTTTTTTATTTTTTTGGTGGAGATGGGGTTTCTCCATGTTGGTCAGGCTGGTCTCAAACTCCCGACCTCAGGTTATCTGCCCGCCTCGGCCTCTAGGGGTGCTGGGATTTCAGGCGTGAGCCACTGCGCAAGTCCCAATTTATTAATCATAAAGGAACTGATCGGCCTGGCGTGGTGGCTCACGATTGATCCCAGGACTTTGTATGGCTGAGCGCGGGGGATCACTTGAGACTAGGAGTTCCAGACTGGCCTGGGCAACATGATGAAACTTGGTCTCTTTTTTTTTTTTTTTTTTTTTTTGAGACAGAATTTCGCTCTTGCTGACTGGCTGGAGTGCAGTGGCGTGGTCTCGGCTGCCTGTGGCCTCCCTCTCCGGGTTTGGTTGGTTCTCCTGCCTCAGCTTCCCAAGTGGCTGGGATTGCAGGTGTGAGCCACTATGCCCGGCTTTTTTTTTTTTTTTTTTTGGTAGAGACGGGGTTTCTTCATGTTTGTCAGGCTGATCTCAGACTCCCGACCTCAGGTGATCCGCCCGCCTCGGCCTCCCTGGGTGCTGGGATTGCAGGCTTGAGTCACCGTTCCTGGCCCAATTTATTAATTAGAAAGGAATAGATTGGCCTGGAGTGGTGGCTCATGCTTGTGATCCCAGGAATTTGGACGGCCGAGAGCGGCAGATCGCTTGAGCCTAGGAGTTCCAGACCAGCCTGGGCAACACGGTGAAACCCGGTCGCTTTGTTTTTTGTTTTTGTTTTGTTTTTTTTTTTTGAGGTGGAGTTACGCTCTTGTTGCCCAGGCTGGAGTGCAGTGGCGTGGACTCAGCTCACTGGGCCTCCGCCTCCTGGGTTTGGGTGGTTCTCCTGCCTCAGCCTCCCGAGTGGCTGGGATTGCAGGTGTGAACCACCATACCTGCTAACTTTGTATTTTTTGTTTTTTTTTTTTTAGTATAGACGAGTATTCTCCACATTGGTCAGGCTGGTCTCAAACTCCCGACTGCAGGTTATCCACCCGCCTCGGCCTCTCGGGGTGGTGCGATTCCAGGCATAAGCCACTGTGACCGGCCCAATTTATTAATCAGAAAGGAACAGATTGGCCTGGCGTGGTGGCTCACGCTGGTGATCCCAGCTGGGACTTTGGACGGCCGAGCACTGAGGATCGATTGAGCCTAGGAGATCCAGACCGGCCTGGGCAACGTGGTGAAACCGGTCTTTTTTTTTTTTTTTTGAGGCAGAGTTTCGCTCTTGTTGCCCAGGCTGGAGTGCAGTGGCCCGGTCTCAGCTCCCCGTGGCCTCCACCTCCCGGGTTTGGGTGGTCCTCCTGCCTTAGCCTCCTGAGTGGCTGGGATTGCAGGCGTGAGCCACCATGCCAAGTTAATTTTTTATTTTTTTATTTTTTTGGTAGAGACTGGGTTTCTCCATGTTGGTCAGGCTGGTCTCCAGCTCCTCACCTCAGGTGATCTGCCGGACTCCACCTTCTGGGGTGCTGGGATTGCAGGCGTGAGTCACTGCGCCTGACCCGACACCAGGTCTCTTAACAGAAAAACAAAACAAAAACCATAAAGATTAGCCTGGCCTGGTGGGCCCGGCGGGTAGTCCCAGCTACTCTGAAGGCTGATGTAGGAGGATTGCTTGAGCCAGGGGGTGGAGGTGGCAGTGAGCCATGTTGGCACTGCTGCAGTCCAGACTGGGCGACAGAGCGGGACAGTGTCTCAGGAAAAGGGAAAGGAAAAAAAAAATAAAGAAAAAGAAAGTATATAAAATTGCTAAATCAGGGAACAGCTTAAGAGTATATTATTGAGAGAAATAGAGGCAAAGGTGAGCAGACACCAATGTTCACTTAGTGGAACTGCAGGTGTCCCCAGACAGGAGGCTGCTATTTTTCCAAAAGAAATCTACCATTGACTTAAAAAAAAAAAAAAAAAGTTGGTTTGTTACAATATACAAATAGCTACACTTTATATAGCCACCACCCTCTTCTAGCACTGCTCTAAGCCTTTTCCTGCTCTGAAAGAGCTACTGTTACCTCCATTGTAGAAAAAACAGATGCCAGAGGTTGTTGTGGAAGG
This sequence comes from Homo sapiens, assembly GCF_000001405.40. Lineage (NCBI taxonomy): Eukaryota > Metazoa > Chordata > Mammalia > Primates > Hominidae > Homo > Homo sapiens. The sequence goes on from NT_187604.1 coordinate 244,993, forward strand.
ACCAGGGAAACTATGAAATTTACTTGTACTTTTCAGACTTAAAGGTTCTTCCTGCTCTGCTCCATACACTGCAACATTGTAGTTAACATACCTCTTAAAATACTGGTCCTTTCTGTATTTGGAGGGACTCATCTTGCAGTGTGAAGTTTTTTCTTGCACTAAGCATTTGGTCATAAGCTCATTTGCGTTTTATGTCAGGTTTAAGTACCTCTTCAGACATTGTTCAGTTAGGAATGTAAATATGAGCAAACAGGTATCTGATTGAAATAGATAACCTAGAAAAAATCACTTATGAGAAAGTCAAGAAAATGTGAACTCTGGATTTGTGGCTATTTTCAGAATGTATTAATTTTTTGATATTTAATGGCGTTATGAGTATATTTATTTTTAAAAATTCCTTGTCTTCTACAGATACATATAAGGTAATTTTAAAAATGATATGATATATAGGTTTTACTTAAAAATAATTCAGAGGAAGAAGGAATGTATATAAATGAAGTGGGAATACAAATGGAACAAAACAGGATGTGGCCAGGTGCGGTGGCTCACGCCTGTAATCCCAGCACTTTGGGAGGCCGAGGCAGGCAAATCACCTGATGTCAGGAGTTCAAGACCAGCCTGGCCAACGTGGTGACACCCCATCTCTACTAAAAATACAAAAATTAGCCGGATGTTGTGACGGGTGCCTGTAATCCCAGCTACTCAGGAGGCTGAGGCAGGAGAATTGCTTGAACCTGGGAGGCAGAAGTTTCAGTAAGTCAAGATCATGCCACTGCACTCCAGCCTGGGCAACCACAGCAAAAGCCCACCTTTAAAAAAAAAAGCAAAACAAAAACTGGCCATGCCATGAATGAAAAATTGTTGATGATGTATGTATGTAGGGCAGTTATATTATTTTTCTTAACTTTTTTTAGGTTTGAAACTTTTTATTGAACACATGCAAACATCCCTTGATAACTGGGGCTGCTTCCCCATTATTCTCATAGTAGCCCTTCTGATTTTCACTTCATCTTCATTCTTAGAGATTCTGGATTTTTTTTTTTTTTTTTTGGCAAGATCAAATATGTCTTTGCAAGGACCATCCAGAATGTCTATTTTATGACGGAGGCTTTGCAGAGTACCTACTCAGCCATATTATCAGAAACAGAAATATTTTCCATATTCTTGTCTTGTCCTGTTTAGATTTTTTAAATTCCAAGAACAGTCACCTTCTACCACACACTCTGATGTTGGAAGACAAAGCATATTTTGTAAGTGGCATGATTTCTGGGCTCAAATTTAGAACAGAGCCACAGCTTTCAACAACCAAAAAATAACTTACTGTGACTCACCAAATTTAGAAAGATGGGGATTATTATAAAAAGAAAACCTTAATTTACTATGTGACCTCTAAGTATCTGGGCTGAAAATTGTAAAGATAGAAAGGTAAATCAAAAGATATAGAGACTGTAATCATGCACTTAATGAAGCACTAAATCAAAATATATTTGGCATACGTGAAAGAGTTTAATTTTATCACATTTTTTACTGGCACTATAGCTATTTGCAAGTACATATAAAACTACAGTGTTACATATAAACTACCAAAAAAGAACTTTTTAAGAAATGAGACTCATCTAGCAACTTTATTTAAAAGTTTATCTTAGGGGAATAATTAAGGATGGCCATACAAAAGGATTTAGCCATGACGCGAGAATGTTCTCCCTGGCAAACCAATGGAAATTATTAAATGTGCAAAATGGAACTGTTGGAATAAATTCTAATGCCTTCATATGATCGTATATTTAACCTTTTAAAATGATATTGAAGAGTTGCATACATTGACTTAAACACACATTTGTAACACATCACTGAATAGGAGAAATATGGGCCAGCAAAGAACATAGAGTTGGTCCAATTTCTACAAAAAAAAGAAGACTCTAATAGCATGACAGCAGGGAAGGGGGACTATGTCAACGTATGTGTGTATATGTATGTATATGCATAGCAAGCATGAACTTGAAAAGATATATTTCAAATTGTTTACACAGATTACCTCAGAGAGGTAAATAACTTTGGACTTTGGTGTTCTGTATTCCACATGCTCTGAATTTTCCTTTTTTATTTAAATAGAGATGGGATCTTAGCCAGGAGCAGTGGCTCACCCCTGTAATCCCAGCACTTTGGGAGGCTGAGGAGGGCGGATTGTTTGAGGCAGGAGTTCAAGACCAATCTGGCCAACACGGCAAAACTCTGTCTCAACTAAAAATTCAAAAATTAGCCAGGGGCGCAGTGGCTCATGCCTGTAACCCCAGACACTCGAGAGACTGAGGCATGAGAATTGCTTGAACCAGGAGGCAGAGGTTGCCGTGAGCCGAGATCACACCACGGCACTCCAGCCTGGGCAACAGACCAAGACTCTGTCAAAAAACAAAACAAAACAAAACAAAACAACAACCACAACAACAAAACAGTAATAAAGAGAAAACCTAATGGACAGGAGCAATGTCTCGTGCCTGTAATCCCAGTGCTTTGGGAGGCCAAGATGGGAGAATTACTTGAGGCCAGGAGTTCAAGACCAGCATTGGCAACATAGTAAGACCTTTTCTCTACAAAAAAATTTAAAAATTAGCCAGGCATAGTAGTGCATGCTTATACTCCCAGCTACCTGGGAGGCTGAGGTGGGAGGATCACTTGAGCCTAAGAGTTGGAGGTTGCAGTAAGCTGTGATCATACCACCAGAGAGCCACGACCCCATCCCCGCCTCCTTCCTCTGTCCTACGCTAGCAATAAATAAGTTTCCCAGCCACAAATAATTATTAGAACCTCCTCCCCATGTGACAGCTCCAACCTCTGCTAGGTATGATACAGGGGCAGCCCTACCCTCTGGAATATACAAAATGTTACACAGACACAGTATGTACACCGGGGAAGGTGGGCCACCCCAGCAGCCCATGCCCTCGCTGGTCCACAGTTAGCCCCACTTTCTGGCCTCAGCTACCTCTCTGAATAAGAAGATGGGAGCCCCCCTGAGGGAAACGTTGCCATGGTGAGAGTAAGGGGACCATCAGGCCTCCTCCAAACAAACCAACTCCACCAGCCTCTGGCTCTTAAATAACAATCATCATCATCCAGAAATTTAGGGACTCAGCCCTGGTCAGGGTGGCAAATGGTCTGTTTGTCTTTCCCCATTAGACAGAGGTCTTGTGCTGCTACCCTAATTGTAAAGGGGTGCCTGGGAAGAGGTGGTAGGGACATGGTGGCGGTGGAGACTCCAGCCCCACTTCTCCAGGCTTTGCTGACAGGGGCCTGCTTTTAATTTTTATTTTTATTCCATGACTTTTTAAAAAAATCCCATAACTTCTTTTTCATAACTTTTTTTGTAACTTTTCATAAAACTTTTTTCTACTTTTTTCCCAGAAGTTTTTTTGCCACAACTTTTTTACATTTTTATCCCATAACTTTTTCACCCCATAACTTTTTTAAATAAAGTTATTTAATAAAATAACTTTTTATAAAACTTTAATAAAAGTTTTTTAATAAACCCATAACTTTTTTATTTTGGTTTTTAATAAACACTTGCATAGTTATATTACAACTTTGTAAAAATGAAACACATTATCTCATGCCAAGCATGCCCAGCATTTGCACAGTATCAATACCTTTAATACTATAGTTTTCAAGAAACGCAAAATAAAATTTTAAGGCAAAAACAACACATTCAAACAACTTAATAATTTATTACATTACAGTGGCATCACACCAGCAGTCAATAAGGCCACTCTAGGGAAAAATCTTTCAGTATTTCCACGACACATTCTGTTTACAATAATTCATAAACTGGTAAAATTCATTCTAAGAAAACTTGGCAAATAAAACTTTGGACTGGAATTGGCATTTCTTTCTCTGCTTTTCGTTCCCACTGTTTCTTTCTTTTATACTACAGTATTCATATTTTAAAATGTTTTAAATTATTTCAGAACATTAAGATAGCAGTTACATATTTTAATAGTTATATTATTTTAAAACGACTCTTTAAAGTTTTAGAGAAACTATATTATGGATAGGGCTGATTTACATTTTCAAATTTTCTAAAATCAGCTTTGGTTTTAGAGCTGATTTTTTTTTTCATTTCTGGAAAATTATCAGGTTTAATCAAATACTTTTAAAATGATTATTATATATTGCCATCTTTAAATAGGTATTTTGATTCTTCCTACAGAAATTAAAATGTATTCAGTGGAACTCACAGTTTAAAATTCTGTGTTTCTGATGAACTCTAACATTCCAATGTTGCCTTCTAAGCAAACTGAAAGCTGCCTTATACAGAATGAGGAAGAGCACAAATACTCGGCTGAATGAGGTATCGCAAAAGAATGCATGCACTTTGGAGAAAGACTTAAGTTATTGTCATACAATTTCCATTCTTTTTAGCTTTTTCTTAAATATATGACAAATACCTACACAAAGAGTGGTATTTCAGTCAATATAGTAAATTTATTTTCCAGACTGACCTTCAGCTTAAATATGCCAGTGTGTGATTTAATCCATAGGCACCTCATGAACACATTATTGTCAGATTGGTTACAGATGCTAAACGCTATCCGAAGGTCATTCCTAGTCACTGATATTTATCAGGGTAAAAGTGAAGTGATTTCAACGATAAAAGTACCTTTGAAATAATTTATCAATGTATTAGATAAACCAGTTTCAGAATGATAAAAGAAAAAACGTTAGACAAATAATGTGGCTGATTAACAGTGGTCCGATTTCTAGCCCGAGGGTTTAAAATGCTCTTAAAGTAACCGTCTTTAAACTGAACTCAAAGAATGCAAAAGCGGCAAGTTCAGAAAATAAAAGGCGAGAACAGGACTTTAAGTGCATTTTAAACCCACGGGCTAGAAATCGTACCACTGTTAATTAGCCGCATTATTTGGTCTAACATTTTTTCTTTATCATTCTGAAACTGGGTTTATCTAATACATTGATACATTCATAAAATTTGGAAGAGTCAGTTGAAGTCACAAGGACCGAATATTTGCACTCTTTCAGTGAATGCCAGCAAATCTGTTATTCCATCGGTAAAATCGTATTGTTGCTCTCCTGTTAATGTCATATTTATAGAAGTATCATGAGGATGCCAAATGCTAAAAATGGAGATGATCTAGTAACTAGAAATCCCCACCGCAGGGAGCACACACACCTATCTCCCTGCATCCTAACAATGTGATGTGTTTTGGAACACAGACATTAGAACTTCATGAAGTTTTAACTGTTGAGTCTTTCCCAAGCATCATCAAGTTACGATTTAGGCAATACATAACTGAAATGCATTCATTCATCATGCATAGGCACAATCACATAAATATTGCACAAAATATGTCCCGAACAGAAACCCAGAGGTACAAAAACATATTTCACTTTGTAAAGAAGTCTGTGAGAAAATATAACTCTGTGATTGTATAGACACGTTTCCTGATAATACATTGACATTCACGAACAGTAGATTGCACTGCAGTTTGTACACATTTTAAGTTTCATAAACTTCTCCTTGATTTTCAAAGATAGTATAATACCGTCTACTAAAACTCCTTTTTGTTTCAACTAAGTATCTCACATATATTAGTTTATAATAATGTTTCTATTATTTTTTAAAGTGTTTTCCATTCAAGGAAAAGGAAGTAAATTCCTATGTCAGAGTAACCAAGGTGGTTGAAGAATAGGTATTAGCCAAAGAGGTCTAGATGGTAAAATCAATCTTCAAGCCTCAAAGAATATCCGTGAACAGAGAGGAATTCCAGGTGTCACACAGCTTTCCTTCACTCTAATTCATTCTTGACTAGAGCCTGTATGCCTGTTCCAGGGACGTTTGAACTCATAAAGGATTTGTTATGATCTTCACTAAATACATTAAGAAGAATGCCAACCAGTGCCCTTTTGTGTACTGGGACATGTAGTCATGTGATTAAAACAGGTAACATGAACTCTGACTTTAAAATGTATTGTAGATACAAATGCTCTAAGCTAGGAAAGGTTTTCCACATCCACAGTCAACGATGGGAACCTTTCATTCCTCAGAAATAAGCCCTTTTTAGGTCATCCAAAAAGAGTGCAACTGCTGCAGCTCATGATGCAATATCTTCATGAGCCCAGAGCACATAGAAATCCTAAGGGAACCACCATAATATACTGCTAATTCCTGGCACCGGAACAGATGAAACACACTCTATCCTGCACATACCTGCCAGAGGAGGCCACTTTCCTCTTCTGTGAGATTTAAAAAGCTCCCCCAAAAGGTTATCACTCCCATCACCAATACACAGAAAATGGAGGAAAGGCTGTTTCCAGTTCTTGGCCTTTAAACAACTCTAAATGTCAGTACTCATAGTGGCATATTACAAAGTAAGAAACAGTGCACACTTGGGGGCAAACTACATATTGAGCTAACGAAGAGCTCACTGTGATTAAGATTAGATCAAACAACAGCAGAACATAGGCAAATTTTGTCTGAATTCTGTAGTGAATATACATGCTGCAATAACATTAAAAAAGCATGGCAGCCTATTCCAAACCAGCGAGAACAGTTTTGGGCAAAGAGTGGGTCTTTGTGTGTTTGAACTCCCACCACGTAAGGGCAAACTCGATATGCATGCTAATGACCTACAATTATGAAATTAAAAAAGAAAAATGCTAAAAGGATGCCAGAGTGAACATCAGTGAGAGCCACAGACACCCACTCTCTTTTAACTTTTTATAAATAAACTTAAACTATAAATTAGAAACACAAATAATCATGAGTGACTCTAACATTCAAAGGAAGTAAATGAATTGTGTAGGAGATTAACCCCATAACTTGGTTTCTTATTTAAAAATTTCTTGAGCAGCTGTTTGATGATGGTGATGTTTATCTCCTTCTTCTTGGCAGCCAAGCCCAGCAAAAGAATGGCACACAGCAGTTGCTGCCCAAGCCTGGGTGCTCCTGGTGGTCCTGCACGATCGGCTGTGCAGTAGGCTTGTCAAGGAGAGGATCCTCCCTGGCCTCTCCTTGGGCAGAGGAGGTGAGGCTCACCTCACAAAGATCTTTGGAGAGAGGGAGGCAGGGATCTGAGCACAGTGGGAGCCCCCTCTTCCTGCCTGCCCACCCCACCTGAGGGCTCTACTCACCACCATGCTTGTCTGCAGCCCCAAGCTCCTGGGGGGCTGGGGCTCCTGGACCGGGCTCATCAGCAGGGTTGTGGGCAGCGGCCAGGAATTTTCTGTGCCCATTGTTGTAGTTGCTGTAAGCCGCAATACCATCTGCTGCAGCTCCAGCAGCTTCACCTGGAGGGAGGGGTGCTCAGCTGCCATGCCGCTGCCTGCGCCCACCCTCACACCCACCCCCACCCCCACCCCCACAGAGATGTTGCACAACCTACCTTCATCTCCTCCCTGAGCTCCAGCCTGATGGTGTCCTCCTCCCAGTGCTGCATCTTTGGAACGGCCCCCTGGTTCTGATAAAAGGTGATGGGTTTTCCTGCGGGAGGACAGGGCTCAGACGCTGGGGCCCCTCCAACGGCCCTGTAGCTCCCCCTGCCGTGCCCTGGCCTCCCACTCACTGATGGCATCTCTCTCGCCAGTGGTGGATGAAGCAGAGTTCTTTTTTCTTCACCAGCTCACTCAGGTCTGCCTTCTCCTCCAGGTGGTCCATAAAGCTGCTCTGGAGCCAAAATATTGCAGTCACATCTCGGCAGCGACCTGCCCTCAGGTGGCATTTTCAAGTCATGGAGAAGGTGGAGGTGAGTCCTGCCATGGGCCAGCTTCTCCGTGACTTCCTGCAGGGCCCAGTGGGTCTCCCCACTCACAGACTCGCCCCCAGGCCCTGGGGCTCCAGGGCCTCTGGCTGCCTCTGGCTCCTTCTGGGCCGAGGCCACCGGGTGAGCCAGGCGCTGGCAGCATACCCTCTGCTCTTTCACCTGCTCTTGTAACTGTGCCTGCTTCTCCTGGGCACTAGCTCCAGCGGACTTGAAAAATGCCACCTGAGGGCAAGATGTGAGCATTCTTCTAGGGGCATACACAGAAGAAATGGGGCAGAGAGGTGGAGCGCAGCCCCTTCCCTTGGGGCCTCAGAGAGTGCACCTGTTGGCCACAGGTGAAATGGTGTCTGACCACTGGCTCTCGGAAGGGGTGAGGGTCCAGAGAAATCAGAAGGCAGGGAAACGAAGAGCATAAAGGGGTCTTGGAGGGACCACAGAGAAAGGTGGCAAAATGGGTGCAGGGGGAGTCAGGCTCACCATGGCCTCCCTGCTCTCCAGGTCCTCTGGGACACTCGGCATGGGCCGAGGTGCCTCCTCCCCCTCACTGTCCAGATGTTCTCCTCCGTGTCCTGTGGGGGGTGGCCAGAGGGGTCTTCAGACAACCCAACAAGGGAGGTACTGTGGGCCCACCTCTACCTCCACCCTCACTGTGTAATCCTGAGCCAGCCCCTCCCCAGAGAGGAATGAGCTGTTGTTCTTTATTTTTACTTTTAAGAATCAAGATCTTGCTATTCCGCCCAGGCACATTCCCACTACTGGTCGATGTGGGAGTTCTGACCTGCTCCCTTTCTGACCTTGGCCAGTTCAGCCATCCTTAGGCAACTTGGTGGCCCCCCGCTCACAGGAGGTCACCACACTGATGCCCAACTTAGTGCAGGCACCCGGTCGGCATAATGACCAGCTGTTCTAAAGGTCTCTTCCAACTCCTCAATCCTATGCTGCTAGCAGTCCCCCCTTCCTCCTGGGGCTCTCTCCTCTTCCTCTGAGCGGTCTCCCGTACCTTCCCCAGGGAGAGCCATGAGGCTCAGCTGGGCTGTTAGCTGCTGGTTCTGCTGGCTGGCAGCTTCCAGGTGCTCCTAAGGGGCCAGGAAAGAGTGAGAAGGGATGGAGTTTGCCAGGTCGTCCCCCTCACGGCCCCATCCTCCGCAGCTCCCTCCCCTGGGTCTCCTGCAACTTTTGGCAGGCCATGTCAGCCACTGCTTTGCCCCAAGCTTCCTGCTGCTGCAGCTGGTTCATTAGCTGGGTCTGCTGCAGTCACTGCCTGTACAGCGCCTCCTTCTCACAGGTCAGCTGCTGATAGGCGGCCACCTGCTGCTGATAGGTGGCCACGTACTGCTGCAGGTGACCCAGGTAATGGTCTGGCTGCTGCTGCAGACTCTGAGCCTCTTGGCTCTTCAGCTCCACCTGCAGGAAGACCCTGGGTGTGAGGGCACGTGGTGGCTGGTTTCCAGATTCTGGGCCCATTAATAGGGTAGCGAGGGCACTGTGGGGCTCTGTCAGCTGCCCAGGCCCCTGTCCCCTTACTCCAGGCCTAAGTGACTGCCTCCCTTTCCTAGAACCCCATGCCTCCTTCCCCAGCCTCAAATCTCATACCCTCTTCTCATTTAATCCTCAGCACCTCTGTAAGGAAAATGCTAACTTCCCTTTGAAGTTAAAGAAACAGAGACTTAGAGATGCAAAGTACTTGAATGGTGACCAGTGGAACCGAGGCTGGAATCCAGTTTTAATCTAAGGAGTCTTTTTGTTTTGTTTTCAGACAAGAGTGTCACTCTGTGGCCCAGGCTGGAGTGCAGTGGTGCAATCTCAGCTCACTGCAACCTCCACCTCCTGGGTTGAAGCAATTCTCGTGCCTCAGCCTCCCGAGTAGGTGGAATTACAGTCATGTGCCACAATGTCCTGCTAATTTTTTTTTTTTTTTTTTTTTGTAATTTTAGTAGAGATGAGGTTTTACCACATTGGCCAGGCTGATCTCAAACTCCCGACCTCAAGTGATTCTCCTGCCTCAGCCTCCCAAAGTGCTGGGATTATAGGCATGAGCCACTGCACCTGGCATAAGGAGCCTGTTATACCACTGTCTCTTCCCCTGTGATTGGGGGCTCCATGCCTCTAGCTAGGATGATGATGTCCAGACCTGAGAGGAGCCCAGGGCTACCCACCTTTAAAAGTCAGAGGCAGGAAGCAAGAAACAGGACTGCCCTGGGGGGTGCTGTGGTCACCAGCCCCCAGGCTGGAAGCTGCCTCTGGCCTGGTACCTCCCCTCCCCAGAGGCTGCTGCCCGCCTCCCAGCCCTTCTTGGATGGGGTGGAGGTTTCCGACTCCTTCACCTCACCAAGCTTCTCCTGTAGCTCCTTTACTTGCTGCTCCAACTGCAGTGCGCTCTTGTTCTCATTGTTCTGGACAGAGAGAAGCAATCAGCAGCCACCCACTGCAGCTGGAGACCCCAGAACTTGGTGTCTGCCTCCCATGGCACTGGGAAGGCTGGAGACAGGTTAGAAAAATCACCCCCTCTCTCCCACAGCCACCTGGCTCACAGGTGCCTTTAGAAGTAACATTTCATGTGAGGGCTACACTGCCCCATTTTAGAGGTGGGGAAACAAAGGCCCGGAGGGCTAGGGAGGAGGGCAGGCTCCCCAGCTGGGGCAACGCACTGGCTCCTCGAAGACGCTCTGTGGCTTGGCCAGCTGCTGAAGGCTCTTGTGCTGCTCCTGAATCCTCTCTTCCTGCTTCCGAAGCCTCTCTTCCTGCTCCCGAATCCTCTCTTCTTGTCCCCGGTTCAGGAGACTTATGCGCTGATTGTTTTTGACCTGGGCCTGGAGCGCTCCTGCCACTCTCTCTAGTTCCTTCCTCAGGTGCTGCAGCTCCACCTCAGAGGGCACTGCTGGGGGCTCCGGGGGCAAGGGTTCAGCTGAGAAAGGAAGCAGATAATAAGGGCCTCTGGATTCTCGGAAAAGAAAAAACCTCCTCTTGGTCCACAGCTCCTCTCAGGCTCCTCAAACTTGGCCTCACTGCTAATGATTCCTCACACCCAGATGGTAGCCAGTCTTCCAGAGCACTTTCAGAGAAAGAGCACTGCGGGTGGCTGACAACGGGCCCTCTTTGCTGATGGGGACACTGAGGCTCATTGAGATGACAAGACTTGCCGTCTCCTGGCACAGACCTCTTTCCCTCTGCCTCAAAGCCCTTCCATCCACCCACCTCCCTGGGGCACTCTAAGCCACCCTCACAGCCCTCTGATGCCAGTCCTGCTCCCAGGTCATGCCAGCCCCATCTTACCCATCTGGTTTTTGAGTTTGGACAAGCTCCTCTCCAGCTTCTCTACCCGACGCATATCTTGCTGCTTCTCTTTCTTTAATGTGCAAATCTGCCCAAAGCACAAGGGGAAAGGGCCCTGGAGAGAGGGGCTGGAGGCTGGACAGGCTGCCCTCTCCCTCTCTGCCCCCACCTCCACAAAGCCCAGACCCATGACCACCTCTGGCTGTACTATTCCCATTTTACAGATGACCAGAAAGATCCAGTGACCTATCTAATGTGGGGGGGCTGAAGGGTCAGATCTCACCTCCTGCGACATTTTTCTCATCCTCTGCTGCCACCGGGCCCTCTCTCCTTTTAGATGTTCAGCATATTCATGTCTTTCTAATTGGAGTTGTTGAAATGACTCCTTCAACTGCAAGAATGGGCACAGAAGTTAGGAAGGGCTGTCACTGGTCCTCACCTGCTCCTGGCCACCTGGGGTCATCTTCCTTCCACATAACTCCCTCAGAAAACCTCACCTGTGTCAGCTGCACTTTCAGTAGTGCCTCCTCCCGCATGGACTGCTCTAACTTCCACTCCGTACCTGCTTTACTGGGGCTGGACAACTGGATGGCAAAGAGTGAGAAGTTTCAATCTGGAGAGCCTGGGCATTTCCACACAGTGCCCCTTAACAGGGCTAGGGCTAGGCCCAATATACAACTCGGTCAGTAAAGATCATGGCATTTCCAAGCCCATGGTCTGGTTTTTAAAAGAACACAGTAAAGTTGGAACGGACAGGGAATGAGATTGAATTTATAGCTGGCTAACAGAGGCCCAGAGAGATCAGATAATATTGCTATTGTTATTACCGTTATTATTACCACTGTTTGAACTTTTATGGAGTGCTTCACCAGATACCATGCTAGCAATCCCATTTAATCCTCACAACCACAGATAGGAAGGGGAAAATTAATCTTTTGTTCACTTTTTGAAAGGATGATACATTTGCATAGTCCAAAACTCAGAAGGTACAGAAGGGAAGTATCTCCCGGCCATCTTGTTGCTCTCTCCTGAATTTTTTATGAACCCTTGCAGACATGTTTTATGTATATTATCATAGTATGTACACACACACACACACACACACACATGCACACGTTTCCTCTTTCTACAGAAATGGTAACATACTAAAGGTACTCTTCTGTACCTTCACAGTACAAGTACCCAATACCCCACCTAGGACTTGCCCAAGACCACAGCCAGGTAAGGGCGGGGCAGGCACTTGGCCTCCAAGCTCTGCGTCCAGTGCTCACTCCACACAGTGACCCCCAACTCACCCACAGCAGCTGACTCAGCCCCAGGCTGCCACTAAAAACCATACAAAAAAGTAGCAAGAAATGGCCATGCTGCCTTCTGGGCAGGACACGCCATCCTGCAGAAGGGACCTTTAGGCTCACTCCTCCATCTGCAAAGGCAGACTCCCAGGGGATGGGGCAGGTGGTTGGACTCACCTGGTTTGCCTTCTTCTTCTGTGTGGCCATGACATCAGAGAGAACACTCTCTAACTCTCCTTTACGCTGCAATGAATGTTGCAGGCGGACAGCCAGATCCTTGGACTTTTCTGTAATGAGAGAGTTGAGATGGGGCCCAAAGGACTCCCCCTGAAGACCTGTCAAAGTGCCAGGTTGAAGGATGACAGGGTGCCCAGATTCCCACCTTCAAAGTATCTGAGAGAACGTTTCATGTGGTACAGGTCCGTATTTAGTTCCTCTTTCTGTATGTTCAATGTCTGGATTTGAACCTTTGGGAGAAAAGCCAAGCAAGTGCTGAAAGAGAAGGAAAGAAACCTTCTCCGGAGGACAGGAGGAAACTGCACACCCTCCACTCACCTCTAGCACCCTTTTGGCTTTCTGTTTCTTGATGTTTGCTTTCTTTTCCTGTAGGAAGAGGAAGACAGAGCTCTTACCAGGGGGAGGCAGAGATGGCACAGCAAGAGACATGCCCCCAGAATGCCACCAATGCCCCAGGACAGGCCCACCCATGGGACCAGGTTATCGGGGCCCTGAGGGGATGGGGTGGAATCTGAAGGGTGAGCCTTCTTCCAGCAGTCATGTTGCAAGGAAACGAAATCACGTTACTTCTTCCAGCTGATGTTCCACTTGTTTCTTCTGTTGTTTCTGTGGGGAGAGTCAAATAAGGTGATGGAGGGTGGCCCCCTCAACTCTATTCCCCAGACCAGGAAGCGGTAGGCAGGGGCCAGGAATGGATTTTAAAGGCAAAGTTCTCAGACATAATGGGAACACGAACTGGTAAACTCTCCTCAAGCTCCCAAGGACAGAGGATTTGGGTCTTTGTGGGCTTTTGCCCACAGCCACAGAACTCAAAGTCTGAATCTGGAATCTCTTGAGAGGACAGCAACATAAACCTCTAGAGATGGAGTTTCAGAAAGGCCCCTCCTTCTGGCAGCTTGTGATTTAGAAAAGTGGGTTCATTCAATAAACACCTACTGAGCACGTATGGGCCAGGTACGGTTCTTCACAGCAGATATAGGATAGAAAAGGACAGACAGGAGCCCTTAGCCCTGAGGTTTCCATTCTCGGGGGCCTTTAAATCTCAGACTCGAGAGCTAACAGAGACCTTTGATACTCACTACCTCCTCTGGAAACACGAGCCCAAAAAGGAGAGGTGGCTTGTCCAGAATCAAAGAGCAAATTAGGGACTGAGTCATGGCAGAAATACGGGGCCCTTGACAACCAGTCAGGCTAGCACTTCCCCAAGAGGCAACAACCCCAGGGCGTGTGTAGCAAGGACTCGAGCAGGGGTGTCTGGAGAGGAGAGAGTCGGCAAAGAGGGCAGCAAAAGAAGAGCCATGCTGCATGCTCTGGGGTCCCTCCAGGTGAGGCCTGGGCACCCAAGCTCCCTATTTGTCCCGGGCACCAGGGACCCCCAGCCCCTTTCTTCAGGGCCCCAAGGGGAAACTGGAGCCCAGGATTGGCAGCGTGGAATCAGGGGACCCCACCGGACTCTTACCAAAGATTTGATGGTGTTCTTCAGTTGACTGATTTCTACGGACCTTGAATCCAGGACTACTGCTCGTTCTTGGCACGGGCTCTGAGGTTCATGCAGAGAGGAGGAGGTGGAGCAGGAGTCGGGGGAGAGGTAGAGAGAACAATCATTAGGGCTGGGGTGTGTGGGCTGTCTCAGCTGGCAGAGGGGCACCCAGTCCCTCCTGGAGGAGGAGGTTGGAGGGCTGACCCGAAGGGTCACTGCACCTCTGCCCAGAGCCTCTTACCTCCAGATCTTTCAGGGTAGCAGATGATGTAGGGCCTTCCCTGTGAAAACCTGTTGCTGACTACAAGAGATGAGAGTGCACATGGAGATGTTCTGTCCCCCACAGTGTCTGAGCCCTCTGACTTCCTTTCTTCCCCATCAACTGGCAACATTTTCTTTTCTGCCTATCTTGGACCCTTTGTCCCATAACTCCTTTGTGCCAACTTCTCTCATGGTTCTTATCTCCCCACCATCCCATCCTGGGGCCCTTTCAGTGACTCCTGATGGCAAGTGGCTGTTCTCATTGTCCTGGCTTCCCCTTGAGACTGGGGATGAGGAAAATCAAACAGCAAAGACCATATCCTGGGTGTCCTGAGTGTTTACAGCAGGCCATGTACTAGGGATTAACATAAAAACAACAATAACAAATCTCATGAAAATTTCACAAATGGAAGTGAAACAATAACACCTCTATTATACAGATGTGAAAAGAGAGGCCCGATGAGGTCTAGCAACTTGCCCTAAATCATATCCCTAGCAGAGCAGATGGAGAGGCAGGATTCAAACCCAGAATTCCTTTTTTTTTTTTTTCTTTGAGACAGAGTCTTGCTCTGTCACCAGGCTGGAGTGCGGTGGCATAATCTTGGCTACTGCAAGCTCCACCTCCCAGGTTCACACCATTCTCTTGCCTCAGCCTTCTGAGTAGCTGGGACTACAGGCACACGCCACCACGCTTGGCTAATGTTTTTGTATTTTTAGTAGAGACAGGGTTTCACCGTGTTAACCAGGATGGTCTCGATCTCCTGACGTCATGATCCGCCTGCCTTGGCCTCCCAAAGTGCTAGGATTACAGGCGTGGGCCACCACACCCGGCTAAAGCCAGAATTCTTAACCCGTACCCAGCAGTCCATCCACAATCTTAACAATTACCCTCTATTGCCCCTTGGGCCCCCTGTCCCCAGAAGCCTGGTCAGCCAAGACTCACATCCCCAGGTGGCTGGCAACCACCAGAAGTGGCTGTCTGAGGGATACTGCCATTTGTTTTCCTGTTCCTGTTCGCTCCTGCTGGAACTCTAGGGCTGTTTTTCTGCCAATATTCTTTTAACTGTTGGAAAGAAGAGCAGTAATACTCATGAGAACCGTCAGCCCCTACAGCCACATCCTCCTTTACAGTTTTTACAAAATACACTTACACACTATCTGATTTAATGACACCAACAACTGTACAAGGTGTTGTCACACTCATTTAGTGACTGAGAAGGATTGATATCATGGCTAGAAAAAAAAAAAGAAAAAGGCAATACTGGCACTTTGAAACTCAGTCTTCTGACTCCAAGCTCTGAGGTTTTGCCAAGAATCAGCAGCTGCCAGGGACCAAAACCAGAGGCAGAGGTAGAAAAGTAAACATTAAGTAGGCAGGAACTGTATGCCATGTGGTTTAGAGTCATACATCCTCACACGTCTGTTAGTGTGAAGAAGTGCACCAGTACCTCTCAAACTTTTATATCAATGTGTCCTCACGGCAGAAGGCAGCCTTTCTCTTAAATCAGAATTCATCAGAAAGAGGACAACCCAAGCCTCATTTCAGAGAGAGGGCTGGTATACTCTTAGAAACCTATGTGACTGTCATCCCTAAGTATATTCATGTTTTTTCTCTTGATCTCAAGAGAATCAAGGGAAACTGATGCTTCAGAAAGATGTCCCACATTTATCCTGTGGCACTCAAAGTACCCAAGGTTGAGATAATATGAGGAAGATTCAAGGTGTCAAGTTCAGTTTCCCAAGATCTATTCCACAGAAGATGAGCAAATGTCACTTCAGAGACCACTGACTGAAGGAGAGTCTGGTCCCAGAACCATGGAGAATTAGAATATGAGGTGGAGAACTCAGAAAAAAAATGTTAAAATCTCTCTGGAAAGTAGAAGCCTGGGAGAAAACCAAACCAAACCCATTCTCTCATTGCCACCCAGAGATACTGTCAATGTTTTGAGTTCATGGGGGAAGTGTAGGCTTTTCCCACCGTCAACATCTGTAAGGGAGTGAGGCAGCCTGGAACCTCTTGCTCCTAGGTCCCATAGTCTCCATTCCCCTTCCAGCTGGAAATTTGTCCTGTGACCAGAGGAACCAGAAACGGGGTGAGAACGCTTAGGGGACTGGGTCATAAGATCAAAGGCCAGTCTTGCAGTAACGGCAGTTACTAGGTGGGCTGTGACATCACAACATTCCAATCCTCCTGGTCAGGGGGAGGGACCGTGTCAGCACCATGTCTAAGTCGCCGCTCCACGATGGGGGAGGGAAGCACAGGGTTGGGACCCAGCTCCTTGGAGACGCCAGCACAAAGAACCCAGGGAGGTCGACCTTGAGGCAGCAGGAGGGGAGGGCAGAGTCTGCAGCAGGGAGTCCCAGGAGTCACCAGCCCAAAGTCACCCAGGGATGATTGGCGAGGGTGGGGCCTGGCTCCTTGGAGATGAGAGCCCAAAGAGCCCAGGGAGATCAAGCTTGGGGCGGCAGGAGATGAGGGCCCAGTAACGGAGCGGGAAGTCCCAGGAGTCACCCACCCAAAGTCACCCTGGGGTGATTGGCGAGGGCAAGGACTGGGCTGCTTTCTGAAGGGGTGGGGCTGACTGACAAAACTTTGATGGGGGTAGCCCAAGGCACCGGGGTTGGGGGGAACAGTCCAGTGTGCCTCAGGAGTCGTATAGACTCTGGCAGGGGTCTTGTCATCAGAGGGGATCTGTGGCTGGGTTGAGGGGCTATGACCTAGTGCGTTTTTACCTTTTTCTTGGCTGCAGCCAATTTGTTGTGTTGAGTTTCTTCTGCCATCGCAGGGTGGGGAGGGAGGCAGGGTTGGGGCCACAGCAGCAAAATCGCAATGAGAACCGATCAAGGCCTCCAGTCACCTTCCAGGCAGCTGTGTGACTGAGCCAGAGGAGGCGTAACCAGGGCCCCAGTAGAATGCGGAATAGGGGCGTGGCCTTAATGCTCCAAGCCCATTGGTCAATGAGAAAGATGAAAGGGAAAGGGGGCGTGGCCAGACAGCAGCGTGTCCAGAGGGCCCTGTGGCTCACAAGGAAAGCTGCCCATGCGACCGCTCTCCGCACCCACTCTAAGAGAGGGGAGAGGCCTCCCACTCTGGAAGAGAAGAGGGGCCAGCTTTTGCTTTAACAGCTTTAAAACTTTAAAAAATATATGTGTGTATACTTTATATATATATGTGTGTCCGTGTGTGTGTATCTGTGTTTTTCTCTATAGCTGTCTTCATTATCCAGCTTCTATGCAAGGTCTATGATTTTGGCCTACATTTTTCATCTTTGATTACAGTATAAAAATTACCAGTATTATCTTAACTGAGATACAGATCCTATAAAAATGGAAAATGCATAGCATGCTTGATGATTAATGAAGCAGACTATATTATCCAACATTCTAATAAGATAAAATAATCACAATGATTTCTCTTTTTTGGAAAAATGTTTCTCTTATTCTCCTACGTTTTCGTTAAGATTTTTTTTCTTAAACAAGAAACATGTCTAATATCTGTAAAAACACAAAGCTTTTGGGCCGGGTGCAGTGGCTCATGCCTGTAATTCCAGGACTTTGAGAGCCCAAGGTGGGTGGATCATGACGTCAGGAGATCGAGACCATCCTGGCTAACACGGTGAAACCCCATCTCTACTAAAAATACAAAAAAGGCCGGATGTGGTGGCAGGCAGCTGTAGTCTCAGCTACTTGGGAGGCTGAGGCAGGAGAATGACATGAACCCCCGAGGTGGAGCTTGCAGTGAGCCAA